>NC_000006.12:101737456-101888971 GCF_000001405.40 Homo sapiens
GGTGGCAGGCAAAAAGAGAGAGCTTGTGTAGGGAAACTTAATTTTTGAAGTCATCAGATCTTATGAGACCTATTCACTATCACAAGAACAGCAGGAGAGAGACTCGCCCCAATGATTTGATGATCTCTCACCAGGTCCCTCCACAACATGTGGCAATTATGGGAGCTACAAGATGAGATTTGGGTGGGGACACAGATCCAAACAATATCACATGGTATCATGGTGAAAAATGTAATGAAACCATGACTACATTTGATCTTTAGGTTTGCACTATGTTTTAATGAGCGTTTCAACTTTTATTGCTTTTATGTTGATTTTTACATCTGTCTACAAAGTGATTTTTTATAGGCTTTTGGTTTTTTTGGCTGTAGATGTGAAAGAGAATGGTGCATTGTGAAAGAAAAGGTTGAACAAAAATCAATTCATGTCAGAATTGATTAAAATCAGGAAACATTTTCAATGTCAACAGGATATTTAGGATGAGAATAATTAAATGAGCTCTGGAGGCAAATGAATTATTGACTACTTACAAATATCAGGCCTAAGAAGATAGAGATTGAGACATATGTCTTCTTTTTTTTCTTAGTGAAGAGAAACAGACAAAACTCTTCTAATATGTAACTTGGTATTAAACCATTGTGAGGAATAATTAGGAAATTATCCTAACATAGGAAAAAATATACAATTGACACATTAAATGTCAATTGTAATTGACAATTGTCAAATGTCAATTGTAATTGACAATTGTCAAATGTCAATTGTAATTGACAATTGTCAAATGTCAATTGTAATTGACAATTGTCAAATGTCAATTGTAATTGTAATTGTCAATTGTAATTGTAATTGTCAACTACATGTATATATGTATATATACTCCTGAAAATAATCTCTCTCTTTAATTCTTTTCAGAAGCAGCTTAAAGTTACATGGAGAAAATTCTTAAGTAGTTGATATTACAATGTCAACTTTTGCCTATTTTCAGACTTTGTACTTAGATACTATATGCAAATTGCAGTTTTGTATTTTTCCCCTGAGGATTGTTCTAGTGTTCCCACCTGCCCTATCTTCACAGCTTTTTTTATCCCATTCCTACTTTATCCTTTGAGACACTGGTCTCATTCATTCACTCATCCATTCATTCATTTATATGGTAAATATTAAGCAAGAGTCCCTATTTTCACAAATCTGACATTGTTGACCAGGGTTTCTCAACCTTGGCACTACTGACAATTTGGCTAGATAACTCTTTGCTGTGGGGGACTGTCCTATGTAATGTTGGATGTTTAGTGACATCCCTGTTCTCTACCTAATATACGCTGATAGGGCCCAAATAAATGTCTCTTGGGTGGCAAAATCACCCTGTGTAAAGAACCACAGTTTGAGAGAGAAGAAAGACAATAAAGAAAAATAACATAACACAATATTAGTGATGATAAGTGCTGTGAAGTAAAATAGAAAACGGGACTGTGGTAAGAGTGGCAGCAGGAGCAAGGGTTCTAAAGCTTTCTCAAGGACAGCAGTCTGCATAGCGCACAGATGTAGAAGCCTTGTTTCTCTTTTAACAGATGTCTATCATTCACTCTAAACCTGTCTATGGAATTGCTAATTAAGGCAAGAGCCTGATGTATTACTTACATGATTAAATTATTTCTGGTTCTTGACTATTTACAAAATGTCACAGTCACAGTAAGATTTTTTTGAATATGTCAAGTTTCTCAACTGAATAGAACATTAATAACTTCAAATGGACTATCGCATGCTATTGATTTTACTCTCTTGTTTCTGCCACTGGAGAACACGAACATCAATAAATCACATAGGCCCTCAGTGGGTGATTGGAGGGTATATTTATTTAAAACTCTTCCATTAATTTTTGTTTATTACATTATTCAATCTATCTTATAGCTGGTCTGCCATTTTTGTGGGTTTCAGAATTGTGAGGACTCTTAATGGGAAATGCTGTGACACTGTGATAAATGAAAGAGCAGTGGACGGTGAGTAGCACACTTGGGTTCTCGTTCAGGCTCTGTTATTGACTGGCTCAAGGACCCTGGGCAAAGTACTTCACCTCTGGGCAGCTTCTCTTAAATAAGGACTAGTCTACCTTCTTAATTTATTTCATTGTTTTTAATGAAGAAATGATATAGCAAATGTAAGATAATCTTTTAAAATGTTATATTTTTTCTTTAAAAAATTAGGTAATTATAAGGAAGATTTATATTTCTCAGATATTCTTGAAGTTGAGGAGCCACAATTGTGACTGTTTCCATCACTTGATGTTTCTTCTCCTCTAACCTACTTAAAAATTGCAGGCCCCTGTGCTATCCTGGTAAATCTCCCTCCAGTTTGCCAGTATGTGTCATGTTTCACTGCAAACCTCACACAATTTTCTGTAAGACATGGCCTAACCCGAAAAGTATAAGGAGGCTGTTAAATCTGTGGTTTTGGAGCAGGGATTTTTTTTTTCATGATCATCCCCCACCCTCAAAGAGCCTTTATAGACATTGTTTTCGTAGTTGCTCACCTATGAAATGCTAACATCACAGATTTATCCCCTGCCCTCCGCAGAATCAACTTTGCTCTCTGGGAATGATATGGTGGAGAAAGGGAAAGCGATTGCCTGAGTTGAGAATTCATGTTTGACTCAAAGTTAAGTTGGAGTCTAAATTCCCAGCAGCTTTTTGGCAGATCCAACCCAGTCCAAATCTGCTGTGGCTGTATAGTGTGGGACACTGGCTCAGCTGGCCGGATCTGGTGTTAAATCCCTGCTCTCTGCACTGGCTTATCCTTCCCAAATACTCCATGTTTCTGAGTGGTTCTTTGGCTATAAAATAGCATTGTATTTCCTGTTCCTGAGGTTGTTGTGAGGACTAATTGAAGTAACATATAGGAAGGTTGTTAACAGTGCATGGCAGATGAAAAACAGAAATGTTCATTATTATTTATACCCAATAACAGCAATTTTTAAAAGGAAAAGGGGGAGAGGAGAACTAATGCTTTTAAGTCCACAACTGCATTCTACATTTGTGTAGTGGTTATTTTCACTTTATTTTTAAGCTATGTTCAGAACGTAACTTTTGCTCTTGTTTTTCTTTGTTAGGTTTGACCCCATGTTTAAACATACGTATTAGTCTGTTTTGTGTTTTTATAAAGGAATACCTTAGGCTAGGTAATTTATAAAGAAAAGAGGCTTCTTTGGTTCACAGTTCTGCAGGCTGTACAAGAAGCTTGGCTCCAGCCAGCCTCTGCTTCTTGTGAGGACCTCTGGAAACTTTCAATCATGGCAGAAAAGGAAGGGGAGCCGGCTGGCAAGAAAGGAAGCAAGAGGGGGTGGTGCCAGGTTCTTTTTAACCTCTAGCTCTCCTGTTAACTAATAGAGCAAGAACTTACTCATTAGCATGGGTAAAGCACGAAGCCATTCATGAGGGTTCTGCCCACTGACCCAAACACCTCCCACTAGATCCCACTCCAACATTAGGGATCACATTTCACCATGAGATTTTTGAGGGGACAATTATCCAATCTATATCAGCCTGACATCTGCAAATTTAATTGGCTTTTATGCTTCTCACTCAAGGTAAAAAACAGAAACAATAAACAAATAAAATACAACCACTACTTTGAGGAGGACAAGGTCAGGGAAAGCCACAAGCATGCAAGTATGCAACTAGGAAATTTCCCTGAGGACACTGGTTGTCAACCTTGACTGTATAATTTGGACTGAGGTATGGCCTAAGTGTTGGAATTTTAAATAATTCACCAAATGATTCTAATGGGAAATAGGGTCAAGAACTACCAAATATTCAATAATAAGGAATCCACTCAAATAGACCAACTATTACTAGAGTTTTCTTAAGTTCTCTGTTGAAATCCAGATACACTTGTCTGCAGAATTCATCTGTTAGGAAGAAACTTTTCCTCTATGATCTTAGGTTCAAATGGTTGGGGTCCTGAGAGTTAACTGACGATAGATAGATTAGCAGAATAAAAGACAGTGTTTATGTATATGTACATTGCAAACCCTCAGGAGTACTCAGTGATGAGTAACTCACTGAATCCTCAAAATTAACATTTTATATACCATTTTAACAAAATGTATTTTTTTAAAAGGGCATCAGTGGAAACGTATGGAAAGTTTATTGGGCTTTTTGATGCTAATGAGAATAGGAAGCCTGTCTCCATGGCAGCTGAATTCACAGGAAATTCCTTGCAGGGGAGTTAATGGGAGCTATATTTTCAGGACATTCTGCTTTAATCAGATAAGGGATGTTCAGATAAGATTTCTTTTTCATTTTCTGTAGCTCAAATGTTTTCACTTGAAAATAATCTTTATGCTAAACCGTGATCTCTTTACATGTGATAACTCTTAAAATGAGAAAATGACACACAACTACACCAAAAAAGCAAATAATTTAAGCATGGCATTACTGAGTGCTCATTATGTCCCAGTTTTATTTACCAGGGCCAAGTAATGTGTCCAAAGTTAACAGCTAATAAATAGCAAAGCTGGGAGTATGCCCAGGTTTACCTGACTCCAAGGTCAACACTCTGTTATACCACACTGTTCTTAATATGCCCTAGTGGTAACAGCCTCTCTTTAGACTTCTACTGAGGTTAATAAGCTATCATACAATTCTGCTTAAGAAGATTATCAGAATATACTTTTTTCTATTTTTGGAAAAAGCAAATGTATATCTTTTTAATAGTTTTTAGCTTCCTAGCAGTGACAGTGAACCAGGCCTGGTGTGCCTGTTACGCAGTATGCCAATCACTAAGGTGACAAGTTTGCAGCAGAGAAAGAGTTTATTCATGAGGCAGCCAGGTGAGGAGGTGAGAGGACAGGTCTCAAATCTGCCTCCTGAAGATGTGGTTTAGGGATATTTGTGGGATAAAGAATCAGGGTGGACTAAGGTGTGGGGTAAGATGATTGAGGTGTCAACAAAAAGAGTCAGACTCTGTAAAATATTTGCAGAGATTTACTCTGAGCCAAATATGAGTGACTGTGGCCCATGACACAGCCCTTAAGAGGTCCTGAGAACACGTCCTCAAGGTGGTCGGGGTGCAGCTTGGTTTTATACATTTTAAGGAGGCATGAGACATTAATCAAATACATTTAAGAAATGCATTGGTTTGGTCCAGAAAGGCGGGACAATTTGAGGCAAGGGCTTCCAGGCTATAGATAAATTGAAACATTTTTTAGTTGACAATTGGCTGAGTTTGTCTAAAGACCTGGGATCAATAGAAATGAATATCTGGGTTAAGATAAGTGGTTGTAGAGACCAAAGTTTTACCATGCAGATGAAGCTTTTAGCTAGCAGGTTTCAAAGAGAATAGGCTGTAAAATGTTTTTTATCATACTTAAAGTCTGTGTTGATGTTAATGCCGGAGAGGTATAATGAGGCATGCTAGACCCCCCACTTCCCATCATGGCCTAAAACCGTCTCTCAGGTTAAATTTTAAGAGCCCTGGCTGAGGACGAAGTCCATTCACATGGTTGACAGGGGGAGATTAGAATTTTATTTTTGGTTTAGAGAGATTAAGGAAAAGTGAGGTAACTGGCGATCTATACGAGCATAGTCAAGCTTCGTGGCTCTTTACGGGAATCATGTTTACAAAATGGTATTTGTTAGCATGATTTTAGGGTGGAGTTTTTAGTCCCTGGACAACAAAAGGTCACCTATTGGACATTTACACCAGCCCAACTGGAGGGTTAGTGGTTTCAACCAGCTTGCATTGGACAAGAGCTGACCAAGTTCCTGAAAAACAACTTAAACAATCGTTACCATGGTGACCTACACCTCAGCGATGTTATAAGAAAGTTAGGAAAAGTTTAGTTTATATCGCTTAGCTATGTGACTTTTAGCTATATAAGTTTTAAAATCAACTAGAAGCAAGCAGCTAAAAGCAAGCCAGATGGGTTAAGTTTGGTGGGCCTAATCAGGTCAGCCCTTGTTTTAAGCAGGGTTTAATCCATCTTATATGAAAAATTTCTTAACACGTTGGGATGCAATTCACTTCTATATGGAAACTTATTTAGACCAGCTAATAGCTGTCTTCCTAATGCTTCTTTATCTTGGCCTTTAGAGGCTTCCTTCCATAGTTTTTTCCATAGTCTTTTATCTACACCTTGTTCTCCTTACCACAGAGAAAGTAATCAAAATGGAGTTGTGTGGTCTTGTATTCTCCTTCTGGTCTTTAAAAATAACATCAACCCTCAATTTCATTCATGATAACAAGTGCCCTATGTAGTATGTCCTATCACTTCCATATTTTTTCTTACTTTAAAAATAATTAAAAATTTCAGATACTTAAAGCAAGTGTTAGGTAGCCATTATATTTGCTTAATATGAGTATTATTAATTTTTAAAAAACGTTAATAGGTTTTTTGGGAACAGGTGGTATTTAGTTAAATGAACAAGTTCTTTAGTGGTGATTTCTGAGATTTTGGTGCATCCATTACCTGAGAAGTGTACACTGTAGCAATATGTAGTCTTTTTTTATTTTGAGATGGAGTCTCACTCTGTTGCCCAGGCTGGAGTGCAGTGGCATGATCTCGGCTCACTGAAAGCTCCACCTCCCAGGTTCACACCATTCTCCTGCTTCAGCCTCCTGAGTAGCTGGGACTATAGGCGCCCGCCACCACGCCCGGCTAATTTTTTGTGTTTTTAGTAGAGACGGGGTTTCAACATGTTGGCCAGGATGTTCTCGATCTCCTGACCTCATGATCCGCCCGCCTCGGCCTCCCAAAGTTCTGGGATTACAGACATGAGCCGTCGTGCCCAGCCAGCAATATGTAGTCTTTTATCCCTTGCCAACCGCTATCCTTTCCTCTGAGTCTCCAAAGTCCAATGTGTCATTCTTATGCCTTTGGCTCTTCATAGCTTAGCTCTCACATATTAGTGAGAATATACGATGTTTGGTTTTCCATTTCTGAGTTACTTCACTTAAAATAATGGTCTCCAATTCCACGATTCCATCCAGGTTGCTATGAATGCCATTATTTCATTCTTTATTATGGCTGAGTAGTATTCCATGGTGTGTGTGTGTGTGTGTGTGTGCGTGCGCGCATATATATATATATATATATATATATATATATATATCACAATTTCTTTTTCTTTTTCTTTTTTTTTTTTTTTAAGATGGAGTTTCACTCTTGTTGCCCAGGCTGGAGTGCAATGGCACGATCTCAGCTCACTGCAACCTCTGCCTCCTGGGTTCAAGCGATTCTTCTGCCTCAGCCTCCCGAGTAGCTGAGATTACAGGCACACACCACTATGCCTGGCTAATTTTTTTGTATTTTTAGTAGAGATGGGGTTTCTCTATGTTGGTCAGGATGGTCTCGAACTCCTGACCTCAGGTAATCCGCCCACCTTGGCCTCCCAAAGTGCTGGGATTACAGGCAAGAGCCACTGCACCTGGCCCACAGTTTCTTAATCCATTTGTTGATTGATGGGCATATGGGCTGGTTCCATATGTTTGCAACTGCAAATTGTGAGCACTGTTTAATTCTAAGCTTCCTTGTAGGTAAGGCAAAAAGCAAGCAAAGTATTTTAGGCAATTCCCATAACTAAAGGGAAATTATTTATTATATTTGTCCATTTGAAAAGATATTTTTTCATGTTGTAAAAAATTTATTAAATGAATGCTAACATAAGGATTAATAAACAACATGATCTTAACATTCTTCATGGAGTAATTTAGTTTTTTTCAATTTTTGATAAAAAGCTGAAGGTATATCAACTTGTTATTCAGTGAAAGGATAACTATTGGTAGCGAAATATAAACCTGATCTAGATTTGGAGATCAAAATTTTGGATTTATACACTTTAGGGAATATATCAGAATGAATAACCTTCACATCACATTGAGTACTCTATGAAGAATCAGTTACATGGGCTGGACTTTTGATCAGACCCTCATAGAAAACAGCTGAGCATGATGGGCCTGGCATTCTATTGATGATTACCAATACAGTCATGTATTGCTTAAAAAGCACCTGGCCAAGTTATACATATTATAAAGGCTTTTTGGTATTCTCGTTGAGATGGATTGAGAAATATTTTATATATATTTTTTGAGAAACGTTTTATGTATGAATAATAGATGGGCAATATGAAATCACAGTATAAAATTTAGTTTTCTTTCAACTAGTCTCAAAATTTCATGCCCATTACAAAATTAAAACTAAGAAAAAAAATTAGCCATGTTTATTTTTTCTTTTTCTGTTGTCAGTGTTCTTTTAACACCTTAGCTCTTCAGGGTGCTCTCCCTGCAGCTATATTTTTAGATGTTTCCCAGTTTCTCTCCTCATCAGGATCATTTAATATTGTAACACTTCAATTTTTAAATAACTCCATTTTAATATTTTGTGATTGAGCTATTTCACCATATGAGAATCTTAGGTCTTTCTGTTTTCTGAAAGTTTTGAAATATGACTTAAAGCTTGAACTAAATGTATGGTTATATCCCACAATTCTCGTCTCCTAACCACCCTTCCCCAAGATTATTCAGAATGTCAAGATAACAAATTATATTTCGCGGAGTCTCATCATTCCAACTTCACCACGAGTTTTTCCTTATTGACCCAAAGTAACTTTACTGCTTTCTCTGTTGTCTGAGGCATTAAATTGCCAGCCAGCTAGGCAAGTGAAGAAATTAATTTATTTAGTTGAATAATAATTCTAGGAGAATTGAGTACTGTTTTTTCTGTCTCCTTTCTATCATTTGTCTAACTAATCTCTCTAGCATTTGGTGGTATAAATACAGAATAGTCATCTATTTTAATCATCTAACCAGGTAGTGTATATCATCCTCACAAATAGTGCAACTTAGATTCCAGTCTTATTGTTAACATCCTGCTACCTTCAAATATTTTATTTATTTATTGAGACAGAGTCTTACTTTTTGCCCAGGCTGGAGTGCAGTGGCATGATCTCGGCTCACTGCAACCTCTGCCTCCTGGGTTCAATTGATTCTTCTGCCTCAGCCTCCTGAGTAGCTGGGATAACAGGCATGTTCCACCATGCCTGGCTAATTTTTGTATTTTTAGTAGAGGCAGGGTTTCACCATGTTGGCCAGGCTGGTCTTGAACTCCTGACCTCAACTAATCAGCTCACCTCAGCCTCCCAAAGTGCTGGGATTACAGGAGTTAGCCACTGCGCCTGGCCTACCTTCAAATTTTTGTCTCAGTGGATAAGACAGATTTTGTTACCCATTTTCTTCTTCAAATTGACTTGTTTGTTCTATTAAGATATACATTTTCACTTCCACTTTCTAATATTGAATCCCTCAGTTTCCCTTTGTAAATACATATGTGCATATGTGTATGCACACACACACACATATATACTCCCAAACACACCCATATATTCTTTATTGTAATACCCCGCTTGTTGATATATAGTTATGGGAGGACAAAGGTATTTTCTGTAATATGGTTGTGTTCTCCTATGAATGCTTTGGGAAATTCCCTAATGTTTTTCTATCTGTGTCATATCTATTATATTTTTATAACCCTTGTTAACATTTTAATATTATTTTTATTTTCCCATAAATTTTATGTTTAAATCTTCTGAATTAGATCAGCAGTTCACCAGAGAAATAAGTCTTCCGTGTCCCTTTGAAAATACTTTCTAAGTCACAAATCCCCACCAAGTTTGGTATCTTAAATCATGATTCTGCCACCATCTATATAACCAGCTGCTCAGCATTTTTCCTTTCCTAAATCACACATTGAATGGGAGGAAGAATTTTAACACTTGGAACCCTTTAAAGGAACCCTTTAGCTTTCTGCCTAGGATGTCATGAATTCTAAAAATGGTTTGCATGTGTATTATGATGGCATCATTCATACCCACATGAATCAGCAGGCATGGATAGTTGTCAGCAGGTGTGATAAGGCTTGGCAGTTTTTCCATTATGTCCTGGATACATGCTGCAGAAAGGCAATGGCTTTTCTGTTTGGCCATGTCAAGTCTACATAAAATTTACTCATTCTCCTTGGTGAATGACTAGCTTTGTTCAATTAGATAGCCTTCATTCTTTTCTGAAAATAAACTGTTATTTCATCCTAAGTAATTAATATCTGAATTTTTGTATGTTTTGGAATTTCTATGTTTTATATCTGTAATAAAATTAAGATATATGTACATCTTAATTTATTGAGTCAATATTAATATATTTCTGAAATAATTCAAAGATTAATAGCACTATTTTATAACAACATTATAGACAATATTGGTAGATGCATCATTCATTGTTATTTGGATGACTTAAATTATATCAGAATTACTAAATAAGAATTAAATATTGATAAAAATAGAGGGAAAGAGTATCCCATACTGTGCCATCTTTGAGGTCACAGCTCATGAAAGAGAGAAAACTGCAAAACAGACTTTATCTTTGGGTATTATTTCACAACAATCTTATCTTACTTTGTTCTGTGGTTGGCAGGCCGTGTGCTATAGAGGCCAACAGCCAGAGTCTCTGCAGGAGGATTTCAAATAGTGCCAAATCAGAAAGAGATAGCAGCCAAAGGGAACTGACATTGCAATTGCTAGAATTTCTCCTGAAAATGTTCATATTTTAGGTAAAAATAAGCAAAATTATGTTACTGCAGTCACTACCATGTAAAACAAGGGGCAATCTTGGTTGGGTTAAGTTATAACATGATGTTAAAAATGGAAAGTACATATCTGAAAGATATTCATGCAGTCAAATTAATAAAAATGTCAGAATAAGCTATTTCTTATTCTGGAGGTTGTTAGAAATGAAGTAGACTAAGATGCATTCTCTGTTAGGGAAAGTCATGAAATACAGTCATAATTTGGTTCTATAATTCCTTTCATCAATTTAGCACAAAACAGATAATTAAATAAAAATTATTTAGTAGTGATAAAATTTGTATTCTGGGAGTTAATCATCCTTGTTAAATTAAAGGACAAATTAATGTTGGGAAATTCTGGGACAGCTAAAAGACATTAAAAAGGACATTAAGTATATTAATTAAACCATATCAAATTGCCATTTTTTGGTAAAAAATGGTTGATATTTATAATTACATATGGTTCAATTTAGGTAGTATTTAATTCATTATTTACATTATAAATATTTATATAAATTTATCTTTTTCCACCAGACTCTGAGTCCTGCTAGTGCAGGCTTATTGATTTATGTATCACCAGTATATATCACAGTATCTGATACTCTACAGCTGTTGAAAAAATGTTGAATAAGAAACTGAGACTATTCGCCAGGACAATTGTCTCCAGCAGTTTGATTGACTATCACTCAAAATATATGTACATGTATTGACTTACAAATTATGTTCTGATTCATTATACATGTTACATCATAAAACATATATATACATATATTAAACATTTTTAAAGATAATTTTATTTTGTCTAGGAAGAAGACATTGGCTTAGAAAAACTCCAACATTTTAGCCTGACAGTAAATACTAAATTTGCAATTGCTTGGAAAGAACAAGTGCAGTAATTTAAATCTGGCTTTTCATCTTTCTTATTTTAAAGGAATTGAATTAGGGCAAAGAAAAGGAACTAACTTTTATTAAGCACCTGGAATAAGAAAACAAATTTATGTACATTATTAAATTTACACTTAACAAAGGAAGTATTATTTTATTTATATATTGATTTATTTTTTGAGACAGAGTCTGCCTCTGTCACCCAGGTTGAAGTGCAGTGGTGCGATCTCGGCTCACTGCAACCTCTGCCTTCTGGGTTCAAGCGATTCTCCGGCCTCAGCCTCCCGAGTAACTGGGATTACAAGTGCCCACCACTATGCCTAGATAATTTTTGTATTTTTAATAGACACAAGATTTCACCATGTTGGCCAGGCTGGTCTTGAACTCCTGACCTTGAGTGATCCATCTGTCTCGGCCCCCCAGATTGATGGAATTACAGGCATGAACCACCACGCCTGGCCAGAAGTATTATTTTTGCTAAGCAGAATTTAAAGCTGAAAATCTGAGAAGTTAGATAAATTGTCCACAGCCATTATCCAGTTCCTAGTTCCAGAGCCTGGCCTAAAACCTGGTCTGAGGTCTGGTAATAAAGCCTGACATGTGCGTTTCCTTCCTAAAAATGATGATAGTAGTCTATCAATGAGGGTTAAAAAATGGACATTTTTCATAAATTTATGCATTTTACTTCTGTATGACCTGTATGGAGAAAAGTGATTTTCTCTTTTTGGTAAATAAGCAAGACTCCTAAATCAAGGCAACTATTCAATATTTCTAACTTCTTGGTTTCTTTTAATAGCAACAGCAGTAGCAACACAAGCTAACTATTGCTTACTGAAAACTTGTGTGTGCCAGTTTCTTTTTTTTTTTTTTTTTTTTTTTGTGTGAGACAGGGTCTTACTCTGATGCCCAGGCTGGAGTTCAGTGGCTCAATCTCGGCTCACCTCAACCTCCGCCTCCCAGGTTCAACTGATTCTCCTGCCTCAGCCTCCCAAGTAGCTGGGATTACAGATGTTCGCCACCATGCCTGGCTAATTTTTACTTTTTTTTGGTAGGGACAGGGTTTCACCATGTTGGCCAGGCTGGTCTTGAATTCCTGACCTTGAGTGATCCTTCTGCCTAGGCCTCCCAAGGTGCTAGGATTATAGGCATGAGCCACTGCACCCAGCAGTGTGTGCCAGTTTCTATGATAAATATCGTACCTAAAGTTGCCTCATGTAGCCTTCATAATTACCCGGTTGAGGTATTATTTTTACCATTTTGCTCTTGTGAATACTGAGGCTTAAAGGGACCAAGTTGGCCAGTGTTACACAGAAGGTAAGTGACAGGGCTAGGATTTGAACATAAGTTTCTTAGACTCCAAAGTCCCTTCTCTGTAATCACAATAAATACTGCTGCCCTTCTGAAGAGCCAGATTTTGTGATGTGTCCATGATGCTTCCTTTATTTTACCCTTCTCACCGAGGCCCAGATAAATGTGTTTGAAAACCATTCAATCATACTCATTGGGAATAGTAAGGTAAATAAAAGCATCAAACCTTGTAGAGGAATCCTTTGTCCTCTCAGTGGCATAGCTAGTATTTCTTCCATGGCTAGCTGATTAATGGCAGACAAAGCAGCATGCCTATTGCACATATCTATAGCACAAGCTATAGTAACAAGACTTATCAATATCTCAATGCTATAGCAAGAAAAAGCATTCAGGGAGAATTATGCAATTATTTTTCTGTAGTTTCTGACTCCTTGATTTGGGAAAGTTAGTAGCTGAATGCTCAGAGAGAGAGAGAAAGAGAAGGGTTGTAACTATATAGAGGGTTAGGTTAAGCCTTGTGGATTAGCTGCAGTTGGACAGGAGCTTGGTAGAGGAATAATAGACTTTCCATGTTCTTTCATTCAGGCCCACTGGCTATTTCATTCACCGCTTTTTAACTTACATTTCATGACTTTTCTAGAATTAACAGGGCAAATGGTTCAAAATACTGCCAGTTAATTTGTAGATAATTTTAAATTCTCTCATCATTGTGAGATATTGTGGTACAGTGAAAAAAGTACTATATTTTGAAGCAAAACATTGAGACCCTCTTTTACCATGTACTAACTGTAAATTTGTAAGGTCACCTCTATTTTCTAAATTTCTTTTTTCTTATTTATGTATCTATTTCTTCTAAATTTTTTGTAGAGATGGGGGTCCCACTATGTTATCCAGGCTGGTCTCAAACTTGCGGGCTCAAGTGATTCTCTCACCTTGGCTTCCAAAAGTGCTGGGATTTCAGGCATGAGCCACCACACCTAGCTATTTTCTAAATTTCTTTTTTTTTTATTTTTACTTTTTATTATGGGGAATTTTAAATATGTACAAAAGTAGACACAATAGTAATAACAAACCCTCATGTATTCTACCTAGTTTCAAAAATTATGAACTCACTATGGCATCTTATTTCTTTGTCCTTCTCACTTTACTTTTCCATTTTATATCATAGTAAATCCGAGACATCACATCATTTTATTGATACATATTATGTTTTGTATTACTAAAAATATGGGCTTTAAAAACCATATATAACCAAAATACCAGAATACTACCTAAAATAAACTAATAACTTTTTAACATCATCAAATATACAATGATCTAATTTCCAATTGCCTTACAAACTTCATTTTTTCCCCCCTACCATTGGGTTTTTGGAATAGGGATTCAAATAAAGTCCATCCATTACAATAGGTTGACATTATTTTACCATCTGGATTTTGCTGATTGCAACCCCATGATAATCTTCAACATGTTCATCTGTCCTCTATATTTTCTGTAAATTGGTGGTTGGTTCTAGAGGCTTAATCACACTTAACGTTGGATATGTTTGTTTGTTCTCGTGCAAAATTACTTCATAGATGATACTGTCTTCTTCCCTCAGAAGGTTGTTAATGTTTGTGTCTCTTGTGATGTTAGGAACCAGTGATGATCACTATCTAGCTTTATTAATTCATTAGGGGCTAAATGAGGAGATTCTATTTCTTTCACTTTCTCCTCACTTATTAGCTGGAATATTTCTAAAAGAAAAACCTTCCCTATGTACTATTTAGTTTCCCATTCATACAATTTCATGTAGAAAAGAAAAAAATAAATGCTTATTTTCCTTTATTTACCACTTTTCAAAATGATAAATTGGTTCTTTATCATCTTACAACACCTTATATGTTAATTTTTGTATCATTACAAACTATAAATAAATATATTTATTGTGCTTCAATTCTTTTCCATGATTGTTCTTTTTGAGTTTTAATTATTTTATTTTGGTCATTGTGAACCTCCTCAACGAGCCTCAAAATAATTTTGACTCTGACCTGTTTCTCATTGATAGTGTCTTTTGTTGAGTATTAACACGATTTTCCAGAATTATCTTGTATATATTTTTGCCCCAGCCCTAAATTAGCAGTTTATCAAAGTAGCTTGGTTTCTTTCGGTGGGAATTGTTACATCAAAACTGTAATACAGGCACTGTGGTACTCATTGCTTTCGACTTAGTCACAGTTCATAGGCTTCTCTGTAGACAAAGCTGGAAAATATTTTATTTCATTTCATTTTAAATTATAAAACCCATTAAGAGTTTATTTTGATAATTCCAACTCAAATTTAGAACTACAATAATTTAATCTTCTATTTTATGTCTGTATCTCCTTTCCCTGACAGTGAAAAATCTAGGTTTTTAGTGATAACAGAAGTGGTAGAATTAGAATATTATGTAGTCATTTGCGTTATTCCAAAAACAAACATAAGAGTCTCAGAATACCAATACTAACATGAACATATGTTGTAACTGTAATAAATATGAGCAATAATATTGCATATGTAAGAGTACACAGTAAATTCAAAGCTTTGTACAAAGTTAAGTAGTTTTAAAATATCATCCTGAAAATACTGTAGATGTATTTCCACAAATCTCCGAAAGAGAAAATATTGTTAGACGTATGATACAAACTGACAAAAGAACTTATATTAGAAGGTAAACTTTGAATTATTGGTCTGCAATATGGTAAAACTGAATATTTTAAATCAAGACAAAATAAGACGGGCTGGGCGCGGTGGCTCACGCTTGTAATCCCAGCACTTTGGGAGGCCGAGGCGGGAGGATCACGAGGTCAGGAAATCGAGACCACGGTGAAACCCAGTCTCTACTAAAAATACAAAAAATTAGCCTGGCGTGGTGGCGGGCGCCTGTAGTCCCAGCTACTTGGAGAGGCTGAGGCAGGAGAATGGCGTGAACCTGGGAGGCGGAGCTTGCAGTAAGCCGAGATCTTGCCACTGCACTCCAGCCTGGGCGGCAGAGCGAGACTCCGTCTCAAAAAAAAAAAAAAAAAAAAGAAAATAACACGATCACCATGTCCAACTTCCAAAACACTTTTGCTGCAATATTCCTATGAATATAATAAGATTTCCTAAGAAGCAAGGGCATTTTAAAGGAAGAAATCATTTTGTTCTTTCTTAAGATCTAGAATTTAAACTCACAATATAATCTGATGCATTGTAAGTTATGGAGAGTATGAAGTCTTTGTGGGGAAAATGAACTAGATACGTAATTATGAATACAATCCATGAAAGGTAACTAACTGTTTCCAGATATACTTAAGAACACTCATTTTATTTCTATGTCTTTACTTTTAAAGGACTCTTTGAACATCAATAATTACTAACCAGTTAGGTTTTATATTAATATTAATATGACAAAAAAAGAAAAAAAAGGAACAGAATATTAGTGAAAATGTGGGTCTTCTATTTTTGCTGCATGATAATTGATAGTTTTCCAACATATTAATAAGGCATTGCTGGGGTTTTCTACTGTGTATAGTAATATAAAATATTTGTAGCATAGAATATATTAAAATAATAGTACAAATAAAATCAATTGAAATACAGTCTTATGTTACTGGATACAATAATTTGTTAATTAAAATTATATTAATTTTTAAGACTGTTCCACATATTACATTTAAAACTTTTAATTAATGTTTTTGAATTAATTGAAGCTATCCAATATTGTAATTTACATAGATTTAGCTATGGGATGAAGTATAAAGATAAATTACTTTTTTTAATAAAAATGGAAGAAAATATCCAATTAATAGTTGCTGGAGAAGAAATATCACAATATTTCTTAGATAACTTCTTCTCCTATAAGTATATAGTATTGATTACATAAAATTTATGTTGGTAAAGTGATTGATTTATCTTCTTTTATTATGTATTTTCAGAATTCAAGACTTAGTTGTAAAAGTATTCATATGATGTAATTAGCTTTTACAAATGTTAAACACAATCTTATTCCAAAAGGTATCTTAATTTGTATCAAAGTAAATCTCTTTTGAAAGGCAATATGTGCCTGAGATATGTTTGTGCATAATTAGATTGTTCTATCTCAAAGTTGCTTAAGGAAACAAAGCTATTATGTTGTAGGAGACAGTAAAATGATTTAGGATATGGGTTCTGGATTCTAGTTCAGATTTTCTGTCTTACGTAGCTGTCTGATTTGGGGCATTTCAATTATCTACTTAATATTTTGTAAGTGTTTACCCTACAGTAGACCTATGCTAACCAATCATAATGTAAATGTAACCAAAAGAGCTATAATCCTTTTCCCCACAGAACATTCAGTCTCACGAGGGAAATAGACACACATGCAATTACTATCCATAAAATGTGATGAGTGCTATGTGAAGGAGGACAGGGTACTAGGTTAGCACATAGCTGAGGCTCCTTACTCAAATCCTGGATGATCAGGGAGGTGCAGCCTATGCTAACTAGGAACTGGATTATGGGAACGAGGGATGAGTGATCCAGATAGCAGAAACGATATGTGCAATGGCTCAGAGGTAAGAAAACCTGGCTCCTGTGAGGAAATGAAATGTTACTCGGTATGGATGGATCATGGGAATCAGAGGAGTAAGGGATAGCGGAATGTAAACAAAGACAGATGAAAAGAGGCTGGACTATGAAGGGCCTCATAATCCACATGGGAGAATATGAACTTGATCCTTTCAGCGATGTAGGCACTCTTGAAGCCTTTTAAAATTAACTCTGCTTGAATTGTGGCCAATGGCCGACACCAACAGGTTGATCCTGAAAGCAAGGAACAAGAAGAAAAGACATGAAAACAAGTCACTTAAACTCACTGTCCCTTATGACAGGATTAGCATAAATCATTTCTTTTCTTTTTTCTTTTTGGTTTTTTTTTTTTTTTTTTTTTTTGAGACGGAGTCTTGCTCTGTCATCCAGTCTGGAGTGCAGTGGCACGATCTCGACTCACTGCAAGCTCCGCTTCCCGGGTTCACGCCATTCTCCTGCATCAGCCTCCCGAGTGGCTGGGACTACAGGCGCCCGCCACCACGCCCAGCTGATTTTTTGTATTTTTAGTAGAGATGGGGTTTCACCATGTTAAGCCAGGATGGTCTTGATCTCCTGACCTTGTGATCCGCCTGCCTCGGCCTCCCAAAGTGCTGGGATTATAGGCATGAGCCACCGTGCCCGGCCGCATAAATCATTTCTAAATTCACTCCTAGCCATATTATATGAGTTCAAAATCTTTTCTACCTAGTCTAGACTCTAGAGAGTTTTCGAGAAGATTTTTCCTCATGGAGATATAATGGGAGAAAATGAGTTCCATCTTCCAGATAAACTAGTGTGTTATCTGCCTTAGCTCGTCAGATACATGAGAAATCAGACCACACACTAATAAAAACCTAATTTAAAAGTGTATCTACTAAGTGTGTATGATAAGTTTTTGACATTTGGAACAGAGCAGTATCAGATGCAGCACTATAGTAACATTAATACAATATGACAAAGTGGTAACTAAATATTGTGAAATATATTATTCTCTTACAGATGTGTCTAGTTTATTGACAGAACTGATTTATATAGTGCATTTCATCCTAGGAAAGCAATTTTATGAAACATTATTATAATGGAAATTGTGTTTTTTCAATTAGTTGTTGAACGCCAAGACTTTAACTCCTGGGGGAAAATGTTTATAAGGAATACTTTCTGTTAAGAGTGGGCATGTGGGCACTTCATTAGAAAGGTTTTATACTAGAGGACTTTTATAGGTGGTATAAAACTCCCTCCCCCCCAGGTTTTGTGTTGTTTAATAACATCTGAAGCCAACATGATGCCATTCCTTGTTAGTGCTGCTGCTGCACAGTTTCAGACAAGATGAGCAGAAGAGGTAAGTTTCCCTAAGGGAGTAGTTAGAAAATTAATTAAACTGAGGGAGGCACTGGGATATTTAGAAAACAAATTAGAGTCAAGAACAAACACACACAAGAACAAAAGGGAGTAATAAGAACCAAGGGAGAAAGAACAAAGTTTAAGTCATGGCTTTCCCTCCACTGTCCTAAACAGAATCTGGATAATGTATCTTAGAAAATTAAGTTTCTTATCTACATTTATAATCTACATTTATAAATGGTTACATTTATAATCTACATTTATAAATGGTTACATTTATAATCTGAAAATAATCTGAAATATCTACATTTATAAATGGTTACATTTACAACATTTAAACATTTTATTCCAACACTGTTTAAAAGATACGTTTTCTCCTAAGCAAAGCCTTCATGCCAATCATGAATCTCAGAGGCTGTTCTACTAAACGTCATTTTGAAGGTTGCCATAAACTCTTCATAAAGGACAAGTTTATAAGGGCTTGGTATAAAAATAAACATTCAAGCGCTCTCTGAAAATAATTTCTTTAAATGACCATTTGAAATTAAAAATAAGATTTATTTTTGGTGTTGAATTAACTGCAAATACAAGAGTACTACAACTTCTTAGACAAGTAGGCTTTAATGTACTAGTTTAAAATACAGAGTTGTCTTGTCTGCCAGTCAATATTTATGAATTTATTCAATTTTCATGAAGTTTGATAAAAAATTTGGCATTTTTTGCTATTGCACTTACTAAGAATTAATCCTCACACTTCCTAAATCAAATGGATATTCTTAAAAGCAAAGACATCTTATTAGATATGCATTTAATTTTGAAAAGCGACCTTCTGAAACTTGTAAGTAATTACTTTGTAAAAACTCTAGTGGTTGAGATTCACGTTCCAGAAAAATCTTGCTTTAAATAGCTTTAAATGGGACATATATGGTTAGCATGGAATGAGAAAAGAAAATATATGCCCTCTCATTGATATTATATTATTGGATTATTATGCTTTGTGGCCTTTGAACTGGTGAATATTAGAGCCACTTGTTACATTATCTATCAAAAGAAAAATATTTTTAAACATGAGGATTGGGGTTTAGGCAACCATTTTACAAATAAATCAATTAATATTTATACAGTACCTAATGTATTTAAATTTTTAAGTTCAGTTTAAATTTAAAAGTTCAGTTCTTCATGGAAAACAATATAGTAAGGAAGAAAAATCATGAATATGTTAAATTATTAAAATGTAAACAAAATTGGACAATTATACATAGTGATAATAATAACTA
Organism: Homo sapiens; assembly: GCF_000001405.40. Taxonomy (NCBI): domain Eukaryota; kingdom Metazoa; phylum Chordata; class Mammalia; order Primates; family Hominidae; genus Homo; species Homo sapiens. The sequence goes on from NC_000006.12 coordinate 101,757,440, forward strand.
TGTTTTCCTGGATGTTTAGTCTAGTGAAGCACTCTACATGCATTATTTCATTTAAAAGTTTACAGTGGGAATACATTTAACTTCTTTTCTCAACATGCAGATGAGATAAATACAATTATCATTCTATTTCATAGATTGGTATACTGAGGTTCAAAGGGGATGAGCGATTCGCCTAAGGACATAGAGTCCAGCTTCAAACAATAAAGTCTGGCTTCCTACATGAGTAATTTCACAAACTGAGTTACTAAGGCCTCTCTTTCATAAATCCAGGCATGGAGATCCTGTGTTAATGGAATTGAGATCCTTCCAGGTACAGTTTGAAAAGTCTACCCTAGTGGTCTGCAAATGGAAAATAACATTTTCTTCATTTCTTTTAAAAAAGCAATTTCTCTAATGTTTTGTCTTTTACTTACTTCAGTCTGTCCATTTTAGTAGTTTTTTTCTGCTTAGAATTGATATCTGAATTATAAATGCTAGCTTTATTTTTGGCATTAAGAAATAATCACAACTGGGTGCAATGGCACAAGCCTACAATACCAGCACTTTGGGAGGCTGAGGCAGGAAGATTGCTTGAGTCCAGGAATTTTGAGACCAGCATGGACAACATGGTGAAATCCCAACTTTACAAAAAATACTAGCCTGGTGTGATGGTGAGCACCTCTAGTCCCAGCTACTTGGGAGGCTGAGGTGGGAGGGTTGCTTGAGCCTGGGAGAGGGAGGTTGCATTGAGCCAAGATTGTACCACTGCACTCTAGCCTGGGCAACAGAATGAGGCCCTGCCTTAAAATAAATTAAAAATTAAATAAATAAATGAATGAAGGTAGGTTGAGTATAAAGTATAGTGTATAAATGATGAGTTAAAGCATTTTAATATTTTTTTCAGTGTATTTCAGTACTTATCTTGCTATAACTAAGCCAGAATGCATGATGTGGGGATTATTATCCATTTGATATATTATCCTCCTTAAAATATAGTTTATGTAATTCAAAGCATATGTGGATTATTAAGTGCACATTGTTTATAGTTAAATAACTTGCTGGTGTTCATCCATTGCTCCCTGTTGGAAGATACTCCAATGTTGAAAGCAAAATCTCTGCTGTTTGTTTAATTGTGCCCCAGGGTACAGTTGGGAATGTGTCTATGAGTGAAAGAACACCAGTTTTAATAAGAATACAATGTAATTTAACAGTTCATAAAACAGTAAAATTTAATCCTGAACTGAGAGATTTATTAAATTTCACTCAGCAGAATAGAGCATGGGATATAAGAGCAAGTGAGAATTAAGTGAAATGATTTCAGGGGTAATAGATTTTATTACGTGATAAACTGGGGGAATCATTCTTTTTTTGAAAAGCTATTTATTCTTAATTCATTCTTTGGAAATAATTGTCTTACATAGGAAAGCTTTTTGGAGACAAAATAAATAAACTTGAAACTATTAAAAGCTTTTGTTTAACTTTATTTGTTTAATTTCAAAAGAGTAAAACTATACTACTAAAATCATATCACCATTATGGCTAAAATATTTTAAACTGTAAGTGAAAGTATTTTGCATTCAGGGAAAAAGGACCAGTCTTCTTTTTGTAATATTCATTTAAAGTCCTCCCAAACTAAATGATGCTTGACAACATGCTGTCTCAGAGAGTTTCATTTTTGCATATCAAGTAGCATATTAAAAAATTCTTAGGCATATTCTCTGCATCTGTAATGATTGATTCCATTGGAGCTTTACCTAAAATGGGAAATATTTTAAAATTTATTTTGTTTTTCCCTTTCTTTTAAATTATGTAAAGAAGTATTAAACAGTTTGAACATGCTATTGAAGATTATAATGAGTTACATTAGTAAAATTTTCTCAACTGTAAGACCTACAATTGCTATTTTTTATTTTCCTTTTTTTGTAGGGGTTGTAAAACAATTTTCTGAGTAAAAGAAGGAGGCTCCCCCAAAGCTAGATGTCTCTTTATTTGCATAACAAAACAGCAGCAACTATTGAGTGTATAGAGATTTAGCTGTGTTTTAATACACATTGTATCTATTGAGCTTCATTACACCTAGTGGAGAAAGTAGGGCAGATATTATTGCACCTACTTTATACCTTGGACAAATGAGGTTTGGAGAGGTTACTGTTTACCAGGGGACATATGGCTGTTAAGTGCAGAACAGATTCAGCAATGGTCATTTGAGTTCAAGTCATAAAGACACCATTAAGGCCCTTTGTTGTGTATTAACCAGCCAACATTTAATATTAGTTTTTAATGATATAAATAATTTTATTACAGTCACAATTGTGTTTGTAATTATTCAAAATCCATGAATAATTTCAATAATTGACTGTTTTAAAATAAGATTTTAAAAAATAAAAAAAGGTTTCTTTAATAATCACTAGCTAGATAAATGCAGCATTTTATTTTTTTTATTTTTTTATTTATTTTTATTTTTATTTTTTTTTGAGACGGAGTCTCGCTCTGTCGCCCAGGCCGGACTGCGGACTGCAGTGGCGCAATCTCGGCTCACTTCCCGGGTTCACGCCATTCTCCTGCCTCAGCCTCCCGAGTAGCTGGGACTACAGGCGCCCGCCACCGCGCCCGGCTAATTTTTTGTATTTTTAGTAGAGACGGGGTTTCACCTTGTTAGCCAGGATGGTCTCGATCTCCTGACCTCATGATCCACCCGCCTCGGCCTCCCAAAGTGCTGGGATTACAGGCGTGAGCCACCGCGCCCGGCCAGCATTTTATTTTTTAAACAAAAATATGTATATGTAAAATGTTTAACATTGTTGAGTGATGAAATACCTGTGAAAGTTTTTATAAACTACCTAAATATGAATTCAGTGATATTTAATTAAATGACTGTGAGATTATGGAATTAAATATATATATTTAATTATATATATTTATTATATATAATTAATTATATTTAATTATATATTTATTATATATAATTAATTATATTTAATTATATATTTATTATATATAATTAATTATATTTAATTATATATTTATTATATATAATTAATTATATTTAATTATATATTTATTATATATAATTAATTATATTTAATTATATATTTATTATATATAATTAATTATATTTAATTATATATTTATTATATATAATTAATTATATTTAATTAATTATATATAATTATATATAATTATATATAATTATATTTAATTATATGTTTAATTATATATAATTATATATAATTATATGTTTAATTATATATAATTATATATTTAATTATATATAATTATATATAATTATATATTTAATTATATTTAATTATATAATTATATATTTAATTATATATAATTATATATAAATCAAGGTTAACACAAACTATGCCTCTTAAGCTGTGTACTATTTTATGTTGAGATTTTTGCTTATCAAGTACAATCTATGAAAAGTTAACACTGTCATACAAAATTAATTTTTCATCTCTTGACTTTGACAGCTATGTTTTATATCATCTACACAGTGTCTGTCTCATATGAGATACTTAATACATGTTAAATAGTAATAAGAATCAAATGTCAGCTCTTAGTTGATGGACATGACATGAAGTCTCAGTGATTCTTCAGAAATGAATCTGAACAGAACTATCCAAAGACAGTTAAATGGTTCAAAGAACTCTAATATTGAGTGTCCTCTTTTGACTCCATCTAGAAAGATCATAGCATTCAGGGAGAAGAGGACTGCTGGATCACACATTAGTCTTTTCAAGCATACCTGTACACAGAAATAGTCTCTAGGGCCACTATCTTTGAATTCCATGGCTACAAATGGAAACAATGTGAATTGCTGGGTGGCCTTTGTGGTATGTCTGGTGCTGAGCAATAATAAAGGAAAATGAAGGGAAAGCAAGAACACTTAAGTCTGTGTGACTCTAATGATTTTTAGTCATTTCTTCTTTTTTTTTCCCCATGCAGCTATTTTAAGTTAATACAGGTTCCCCTAAAGGCAAATATAACTGACTCATTAGGAAATCAGTTGGGAAAACAATATTTTGCAATTGTGGCCCCACCCCTTCATTTCTCCAGAGCTCATGATAGCACACATGCTCTATCTCTGTTGGCTATATTTTTAGCTTTCCCACATTATTTTGCAATATTCCTTTCCAGACTAAAAAATTAACAAAACTCCACACTGAAGCAACAAATCACTATCTTACACAATAATTCACTAAAATAGGACCTTAAGGTATTTTGCCTTTCTTCAAACTCAGACTGAAAGCTTTTCTGGTCACGATTTTTCAAGGTTATACTTTTATAACAAAACCAGATGCAAAGATTTTACCTAATCAGATTTTACAATAATGCCCCCATTTCCCTCCCTCCCTCCCTCCCTCCCTTCCTTTCTTCCTTCCTTCCTTCTTTTCTTTTCTTCCTTTGTTTCCTTTCCTTCCTTCCCTTCCTTTCCTTTCCCCTCCCTTCCTTTCCTTCCTTCCTCCCTTCTTTTCTTTTCTTCCTTTCTTTCCTTTGTTTGTTTCTTTTCCTTCCTTTCCTTCCTTCCCTTCCTTTCCTTTCCCCTCCCTTCCTTTCCTTCCTTCCTCCCTTCTTTTCTTTTCTTCCTTTCTTTCCTTTGTTTGTTTCTTTTCCTTCCTTTCCTTCCTTCCCTTCCTTTCCTTTCCCCTCCCTTCCTTTCCTTCCTTCCTCCCTTCCTTTCCTTCCTTCCTCCCTTCCTTTCCTTCCTCCCTCCCTTCCTCTTCCTCTGTCTCTGTCTCTGTCTCTCTCTCTCTCTCTTCTTTCTCAGACAGGGTGTCACTCTGTTGCCCAGGCTAGAGTAGAGTGGCACTATCATAACTCATTGCAGCCTCAAACTCCTGTGCTCGAATGATCCTCCCATCTCAGCCTCCCAAGTAGCTGGGACTACAGGTGGGCATCATGAAGCCTGGCTAATTTTTTTATTTTATTATTTTTTTTAAAGACAGGGTCTTGCTATGCTGCCCAAGTTGGTTTCAAACAATCCTGCCTGAGCCTCCCAAAATGCTGGGTTTTGCTTTCCTGACACCGGTATCTCCTGGTTCAAATAATCCTGCCTGAGCCTCCCCAAGTGCAGGGATTACACGTGTGAGCCACCATCCAGCCCCAATTTCTTTCTTTCTTTTTTAAAATTAGGTTCTTCCTAATTACTTCTGAATGACAGTGAATGACTTAGGCTCTTAATTTGCCTTTGAATCCAGGTATTCAGGGTGACAAGACCAACATTTGCCTGGTCTAGTTTGATAAATGACTCTGTCTAAAATGGTGTCATTAAGTACGTGCCTTGACAGGATTTGAAGTTTTTTTCTAATTCAAGATGCTAATTACAGCTTTCTTGTCCAGTTAATATTCAGCTAAAAAGTACACATGTCAGGCAGGTCAGTTTCAGATACCCATGAGGTTAATCTAGAAGCAAACTAAAGTGACCATCAAAGTATAATATTTTCAGTACATTTTGGATTTTTAAAAATGTATTTGTTTTGCTGAGACACTTCTTTGTGACTGAATCATCAGACTTAAGAGCTGGCTTTTGATTGTAGATCTCCTAGAGTCAGCCCAGACAGACTCAACAGCAGGTATAGATTCCAGGGCTGTCTACAAGAGGCCACAGTGCCAGGACAAATCATGCTGGGCGTTCCTTGGAGACGCTCATGTACAAATGAAATAATGTTTCAAAGAACATCAAGGCCATCCTCCAGAGGAACAAGAAATGACAAAAGGACAATGTACAGATTGAGGGTCTTGGCAGAAAATCAAAGTGGCTGTCCCTACTGCTTTGATTTGATGACAATGTGGTAAGAACATTCGAGTAGCAGGATTTGTTTTTAACAACTGAGTGATTTCCTGGGTGCCAAAGCTCTGGGTCAGTGTAATGTCCTAATTTATTCAATCCTGAAAACCACTCTGAATGTGAGGTTTCTAGAAATGGCATATAAGTCTTATTTAGTCACTCTTTGTTAGTTGCTGATATCTGATTAAACAACACAAATTAACTAGCTGTTTGAATGTGTTATGAATGTCTATGTCTCCCAGAAGACACACATTTCTTGTCTGATTTTTCTTACTATGTGGAAGTTAGCATCTTATTCAATTTATTAGCCAATCAAAATCATCTGTATTTTCTACTAAAATCAATCCCCTTTTGAATTCATCTCATGCCATTAAATAAGTAACCAGGGGAAATTCTTCTTCTTTGTTCACTCAAGGTTTAAGAAATTTGGCCAGATGAAATAGTATAAATCTTTTATGAAAAATAACATATTCCTGTTAATTCATCTAAACTTAGTTGAAATTTAAAATATGTTAGATATTTTTCTGGACTAGTTTCATAGGTGTGTGATCTATATAGTCACATGGGACCTTATTTAATTCTTAATATTATTTGGAAAAGAGGCCATGCGTTTTTTTGTTTTTTTGTTTTTTTTTCCTGGGCCCTGCAAATTATGAAGCCAGCCTTGTTTGCTTCCAGTATTTAAATAGTACCGGTGTTTGCACAAATAAGTCTAAGAACAAAAACCACTTGAATGTATTATCTGATTTGACAAGAAAAGAGATAAACGTTTGTCCTTAAGGAAGGTGATCCCAAGATCAGAAACTTAAATAAGGTTTTAAATCCTGTATTTTGGCTTCCCTGACACCAGTATCTCCTGGTTCTCTGTATTCACTGTCTCTCTCTCTCATGCTTCTCTTCCTTCATCACTTATATGTCAGAGAATCTCAGGGCTATCTTCTCTCAATTTACCTTTATTCCTGAGTGTCATTTGCTCTTGTGGTTCCAATCCTTCTCATAAATTTATGATTTCCAAATTTATAACCCAGGTCCATACCTCTCCTTTGAGCCATGAACTCATGTACCAGACGCCTCCACTTGCAAGTTTGGAAACTCAATATCATCTTCCGTGACATCTTCCTGAAACCTCTTGATTACTGATGGGGATACAGCAGTCAAATGAAGTCTCTATACACATAGAGATTATGTTTTAGAAGAGGGAAAAGATAACCAGCACTCTGTGTGTGTGTATGTGTGAGAGAGAGAGAGATGAGAAAGTGAAAAGTGCTCTGAAGAAAAGCAAGGTGAGAGAATGAAGAAATATGTGAAAGTGTATTTCTAATAGCATTTATCTGCATTACTTTTTATCTCAGTGAATATTATGACCATCTTCCCTTTGGCCCAAACACTAATAAACCTGGGAGTTATTGTAGCCTCCCTTCTCTTCATTATCATCATTGTTATTATTTTAAAGTTGAGGTCTCACCCTGTTACCCAGGCTGAAGTCACTAGGATTATTTTTAATGAGTTTCCTGAAGGATCTCCTGCCTCTAGTATTATACCAATGTGTCTGTCATTCTCCCCACTCAGGAAGTGCTCTTTCCTAAAAGTAAATCTGATCATTTCTGTCCTCTGAAAACACTTTAATATCTTCCACTCATCCTACAGATAAAATCTACGCTCCTAGCCATGGCTGACGAAATCTTCATTTTTCTGTGTGTGTGTGTGTTTTGTTGTTAATTATTACTTATTACCTTCTCCAGCCTCATCCATTATCACTGCAAATCCACACCTTCACTGGTGCTTCATCTATGAGGAACATTTTTCAGCTTCTCAACACTGTCTTGTTGTCTCTCATTTCTGAGCTGTCACATCTTTCTCCTTCTCCACCTAACTCTTAGACTTCTTTAGTGTCAACATCACTTTCTTCTGAAAGCCTTCTCTGAGTCCCCCAAGTTAATTTCAGTTAGTGTTTTTTGTATGTGCATGCTATAGCACCCTGTTCCTCATTTCAGTTTTAGCATTTATTCACCTTAATTTGTACTGCATCTTCAATTGCCTACATTTTACTGGGCGTGAACTCCATAAAGGCAGACCCTACATATATCTTGCTTATGTTTATCTCTCTAGCATTAGCTTAGTGCCTAGCATAGGGCAGCTGAGTACTGAATGCGTGTGTGCTTTTTTAATGTGTGTTTCACTCTGAATTCCTTCTGAATCTAAATGACATTATGTATATGTTAATGTAGTAATATATAAATAACAATGATAATGGCTATTGGACACATCATTTTTTTTTCTAGGAAGAATAGTGGAATGATTCAATTATTTCAGATTGCATTTCAGCTTTGGAGACTGCATTTATTTTGCAAAAGCTACTTGTGTTAGTCCCAAAATTAATCTGCCTAGCCTGGAGGCAGGTACCTGCTATGCTGTCTGGAGAAGTCACATGAAAATAGTCAAGATATTTTTTTCCTTCAAGGAGTGTTTTCTTATGAAACCAATGCCTCTCTCTCCCTCTCCACGAAGCGGAAATTAATTTTATAACTGGTATTCTTGAAAGTCTGTATAAATGGAAGGCACTATTTTAAAGTAGGGTTTCATCTGAGTGCATGTGATTAAAACTACTCTTCATCTAGAAATTAGAAACATGGCAGATAGCAAATTTGGATTTTCTTATACATCTACTTAAACTTAATTTCTCCAAAAAAGCTATGAGTCATTTATTTTTGTGGAATCCTTTTTTTATTGTATCACAAAGCCTAAATTTAAAAAATGTTGCATATGAGTTTAATATCATTAACATTTAAACTGTTCTTGATTAAAGTATGTTAAAATGTCTTTGTTTTGCAAGATGCATTAATTAGAATAAGGATCCAAACATCAAGCTAAAGCATTCTCTAATTTGAAGAGATTATTTTAAGAAAATGATGAACAAAGTCCAGCATCATTGGAACATATTTGCCTGATATATTTTATGCACTTATTCCACTTATGTTTATAATAACTATTCGGTATGTTTGGGCTTTTGTTCAGGTTGCTTTTAGAGCAACCTGAAAAAAAAAATTGTAATATTTACTAGAATTTTGTTTAAAGTGAAGTAGCTATATTATTAAGTGTATGTTTCTAATCATGACCTCAATTTTTAAAGAATCTTGTGTTTAAAGATTTAATAATTGAGGATATAAAAATGATATCCTGAAGAGTTCCTGAAATATTTGAAGCATTAAAGTAATGTTTGATATAAATGAGCACCTGTTGAAGTTCTATAGTATTCAATTGGAAGAATAATATCTTCTACACTTACCTCAAATTCTTTTTTATGATAAAGTTGGATATAAAACCTAAAACAACTATTCTAGTTTACAACATCTAGTCATGACAGATAATTGTCAAACTGTGTTTTAGTTTACTACAGCATGTCTTTATGGCCAAATGACTTCTGGGAGTGTTGTCCTCTGAAGTTGAGCTTCCTACTCACAACTCTGCTCAAGACAGAAAGAAAGCATATTAGTCCTGTTCCAAATGAGCCCCATTCTTAGCAAGTGCTGCTGTAATTTAATTTAGGTTTGGGCCTTCACTTGCAGGAAATAGACATGATGTTAATTAACAGAACAATGCTTGTGGAAAAGCTTTATGATACTACTTGATTAACCACATTCCTTTTGATGTTCATTTTTGGAAAATAATTGTTTATGTCTCCTGACACAGTAGATAAGATGGCATGCATGGCTGGTGTTTGTAGGTGTCCAAAGGGATTGTCTTTAGACTGATGTGGCTTTTAGGCAATTCTTTTTATGTAACCTAGCAATCTTGGTGCCTAACTCCTACTTCTGGTTGACTTTACATATGAAAAGAGGGGAAATTTGTAAACTTCTGAGAAATTAGAAGTAACTCAGGTAAACATTGAATACTATCTAGAATTCAGAAGAAATAACTGCTACTTTTAATTGAAATTTTAATTTGCTTTTGGTCCATTAATTCTGCGGTTTATCAGCACAATACTTTTATAATTCTTACATATCAATCATGAGTAAAATTGTGCTTTAGTTATTTAATTTTCTTCCAAACAGTAATCAATTCACCTTTTTTTCTCCTTAAGAGAGTATTCTTCTCACAGAATGTAGAAATATAAAAAAGAAAGGTAAACTTTTCTGTAATCCCATTACCATTATAAACATTTTGGATTTATTATGATCTCTCTTTCTTTCTTTATGTATTTATGGAGATAGATGGATAAGATATACTTAATATGACAGTCATAAGCTATATTTTGTTTTACACCTAAATAATGTACATTTTAAGAATATGCATAGTTGAAATACATTTATTTGTTAAAATAATGAGGTATATCTATTAATTCTAACTTGGAAAAATATATTCTTAGATTTTTTTAAAGCAAATTATTGTATATTTGACTTTTGATTAAAATAATAAAAATAAACACAATATGTGTGTGACTGGGTCTATGTAGGCCCACACTGTTGAGAATAATTACCTCTGAGGAAGTCAGGAGCATGGGTGGTGGGATCTGAAATGTTTTACTAGATATAATTCTGTACTATTACAATGCATTATAATAGGAATATATTATTTTATGAGTATGGAAATGTTAACATCCATCCTTATGTCATAAATATAGGTCTAGATAATTATTTTATTTTTATTTTTATTTTTTTTTGAAACAGGGTCTGCCTCTGTCACCCAGGCCGGAGTGCAGTGGTGCAATCTCAGCTCACTGTTAACTTGTACCACACAGGCTCAAGTGATCCTCACACCTCAGCCTTCCAAGTAGCTGGGACCACAGGCATGCGCTACCATGCCTGGCTAATTTTTGTATTTTTAGTAGAAATGGGGTTTTACCATGTTGCTCTGGCTAGTCTCAAACTCCTGGGCTCAAGTGATCTACCCATCTTGGCCTCCCAAAGTGCTGGGATTACAGGCATGAGCCACTACACTCACCCTGTATAATTTTAATAGTGTTATTTATTTATAGAAACACAACATAAATTGCTTAACCTTGTTGAGAAACATTAAGGCTGCTGCATTTTCAAGTAATATAAGCCATGTTGTCATGCACACATCTGTAAATGCATCCATGTACATTTTTCCTTTTTTGTTCCATGGAATAAGTTTCTCAAGTCAAACTACAATGTCCCAACTGGTGTTTGACATGCATTTTCAGACTGTTCTCCCCAGTGATATTACCACCTTTTTCTAGCACCTAATCATAGCTGCTAGCACATCATTATTCATCTGTGTCTGGTGAGCAAATTATGGTTTCTCTCACCTAGAAATGTTATGGATTCTCTCTCACCTCTAGATGAGGAAAGTAAATTTTTATCATCAAGAGAGGACATAGAATGAAAGCTGTCTTCCATAATCTTTGTTTCATAATGCACATTGTATTATGTTAATATGAGGGACACTGAACTCTAAAATAGATGCCTAAATCATATTGTTTAGGCACACAGCTATATATCACAGTAATTTCTATTATCTAAACCTCATGGTTTAGATAGAAAAAACCCACAATCTTTGGAATTTAATAGCCTGGGTTTAGATTTTAGGTGTGCCCATTACTCAGTGCTTTGAGCCTTGGCTCCTTGGCATGTATTGTTTATATCATGAGATTGTTAAAGAAAATTAAGTTAAATAATATCTTAAAGTGCCTACTGCAGTGCCATGTGGTAGGTATTATAGAAAGTAACCTTGTGGCTAAATAACTTCTTTGTGAAATATTTACTATTTTTCTGATTTAAAAAAAGACAGATTATCATTTAGGATATATAGTTAAAAACTGACCTAAGAGGCTAAAATTATAGCTGATATGCTTATTATTGCTCTGATTTTTTTATATCTGTACTAAACTTCATGCTTTTAACTTTTGGTTAAGGGTATTCCTTCTGGTTTGGTTAATTTCAAAAGTATAAGAAAATAAAAGTAAACTTTAATCTTCTACCTTGCATGATGGATATGTGTAATATCTTTGTACTGTTTTCCTTGGAAAAAAAAGTAGATACAAATGCCCAAGTATACAGTATGTTGAATTTTGCTCACCATTTGACATAAATGAAAGTATCTTTGTAGTAATTTTTCTTTCAAAATGCAATAGAATGTGTATATTCATTGGGTAGCCTTTAAGAGGTCAGAAAGAAAAGACACTAAAGGATATACAATTGCAGAAGAGGGAAGTGGAGGAGTTTAGAGTCAGGAATGCAGAGGAAGAGAAGAAATATTATCTGATGCTGTGAACCCTGGAAATACAGAAGTCTACTCAATAGTTAAGAGCCCTTTGCTGAGCTTCATTGGACATACTCAGGTGCTATGATAGCTATTTGAGTAAATGTATGCTTTATAGGAGTCTCTTCTCCTGGATTCTCAAATCTAGCCCACAAGATAAACTCAAGGTTAAGATTAAACAAATTATGAGTATCTTTTTGAGTTTCTTTCTAAATAAATGTATATACTTGTTTGTTCCAAATAACGAGGAAAGAATATTTTATGCTATAGCCTGTCAACCTAAGTAACAGTGAGAGAGGCCCTCTAAAAGAAAAGGTATTTATTTGAAAATAAAGCATTGTAATGGGAATATGCACGTCAAAGTAAACTATGCACATAGTTAGGGAGGTAAAGGAAGACAGAGGTTTTCAAAGAGAAAAAGCAGGAAGATTATATAATTCTTCTGAAATAATTACCTTTGGCTACAGAGACCAATAACAAGGTTATCGCCAGTCCGAGGTTAGACAGGCAGTTGCTGGGCAAATGCCCTTGTAGAAATATGTTTTTGTGTAAGGTTCTGATGGCCTTTGTGCAAGATTGTGGATTTTGTATTTTTTTGTTATCAGACATACAAGAATGGTAACCTTCTCTTTACAGTGTTCTCTGGTTCTGCCAGGGCTTTTTGTTTGTTCATTTTTTAACATTAGTGACTCATTTGATTTTGACACCTTTCACAAGTCTATCGTTACTGCCTTGTTTTTTCTGAAATGTCTTTTTTGTTTTTTCTAGTGATGATTCTTATGCTTTTAAAAACATTTCTAACATCCTCCTGTTGCTTATTTATCTGTGGAGTTGCTGTTCATTCTGGTTTTCCTCTGAGTCCTTGCCCATACGTCACCACCCTGTCTTACCTTGGCTGCAGCTGTTGCTAGTCATCAGATGAAGCAGGTGAAGGTTATCAAACTGTTATTTTTCCTGAGTAAAGTGTCATCACCTCACCTACTGCTCTTTGTCTTCTTTGAATTAATTTCCTAAATGGCATACGATTCAGTGCAAAAAAATTGTTGTTGTAATGAAAGTCTTTTATGTCCTGGTTGGTGATTTATAATTGGTTTCATCAAGTATAAAACTCAGAAGTATAAATGTCAAGAGTTAACTGATACAGCTTAATTGGTCATTTCCAATTTTGATGTCAGTCTATTGACCTACCGGCTAAAAGGGCATTGTAGAGTATTAGTTGGCATTTGTTTTTGGAGTCCTTTATGATTTCTTTCTTATTAGTGTTCACAGCAGTGTACCATTAAAGTTTTTGGCTTCAGTACACATTCTGATTATTCCTGAACCTGCATAGTCACAATAGGAAGGGTAGTGTTGATTCAAACAAAATTCAGATCCATGTATTTTTGGCAGGTATAGTGTGTTCTTCTGCACCAACTCACATATTCCATTTTGTGCCTTTACAAAACTATAGGAATAGTTTAGTGATTGCCTAAAATTTTCCTAGTAAATTGAATGTTTTTCTACAAAAATGTCTTAAAAATCAGAAGATAATATATTCAGTAAATTTATTTTATGTACCTATTATATTGTCTAGTACTTTAATATGTATAATTATTTATGGTTTGATTTTATACACATCTCATTTTCCTTAAATGTATATTCCAACTTATATGGAGATAAAAGTAATGATATCACTTTGCCTTGAAGAAACTAAACTCTAAGACTGTTATCATTTGATTCTTTCATTTTGAGCTGTCTAAAATTTTATAAAATTAGTTAAGAGCAAAAAGAAGCATATTAGTTATCTTTCTTTTTTTTCTTTTTTCATTAAAAATTTTTATTCAGTGCAACGGGTTGTATAACTTTTATAGACAAAAAGTACAAATAGCTAGTGTGGTTTGATTTAAATTTCTATTTGAATTAAACATTTGAATACTTTTTCACTTGCAATTTATCCTTTTAGACAAATTTCTGGAACCTTCATTTAAATGAACACAGATGTAAGAAATAAAGCGGTTATGGAAGCCCAGTTCTGGACTCATTATTAACCCATTTATGCCTGAGGTTGCAATTTTTTGAATTTTTATTTTGTTTTATTTTATTTTTATTTATTATTATTTTTTATTATTATTATACTTTAAGTTTTAGGGTACATGTGCACAATATGCAGGTTTGTTACATATGTATACATGTGCCATGTTGGTGTGCTGCATCCATTAACTTGTCATTTACATTAGGTATATCTCCTAATGCTATCCCTCCCCCCTCCCCCCACCCCACAACAGTCCCTGTTGTGTGATGTTCCCCTTCCTGTGTCCATGTGTTCTCATTGTTCAATTCCCACCTATGATTGAGAACATGCGGTGTTTGGTTTTTTTGTCCTTGCGATAGTTTGCTGAGAATGATGGTTTCCAGCTTCATCCATGTCCCTACAAAGGACATGAACTCATCATTTTTTATGGCTGCATAGTATTCCATGATGTATATGTGCCACATTTTCTTAATCCCGTCTATCATTGTTGGACATTTGGGTTGGTTCCAAGTCTTTGCTATTGTGAATAGTGTCGCAATAAACATACGTGTGCATGTGTGTTTATAGTTATCTTTCTTTTAAAGTACAGGATAATTTGTCTTCAAACATAGCTGGATCCAGGTGCCCAAAGAAAGTCCTTATCAACAGGTTCCTCTTCTCCCACTTCCTCTCTTTTCTCTACTGGCTTCATTCTCAGAGGGAGATATAAAGGTGGCATCAAGGTTTATAATCCACCAGTCTGGGACCCCACAAGAAAGAAAGTACCTCTTTCCTAATGGCTTCCTCAAAAAGCTTGGGTTTAACTAATGAGCTGAGCTTGTTTCACTTGGCCATGCCTGAAGCAATAGCTGTGACAAGGCCTGAAATATATGTTTATACCTGGAGCTAGGAGATTAAAGCAGGAAATGGACTGAAGTGGAAGAGGATTCTGCTGCAGTAAGAAGAGATGTTGAGAAGGCAGAACAACAGTTCCCACTGAAGATGCCACTGAGTTACTAGGACCATACTCCTGGTCTTCTGAGTTCCATATTCTACTCTTTGAGTCTTTCACATGGATCAGTTCTAAGATGAAGTAAGAATAAACTTAAATAAATCCTTTAATGTTTATCCTCTAAAAGGACAAGAATATTTTAATAGCCTGAAAGCAGATGTTGGGAATCTCAGAAAATGAATAAAGTATAATCTTGAAAAAAACTAGTGAAACTTCTGGTTTGATCTCTTCCCTAATGCCACCATTCCTCTCAACTTTTGATTCTTTAGCTTTTTTCCACTCCTTTTATTTTTTGAAGCTATTGATGTTGCTAGAAAAATCTTTGAAGCAAAGACTACTCTCTAACATTAATAGATAGGAACTACTCCAGATGAAATTAAGTACCCTTCTATTACCCTGCATATGGCATTGCATTAAAATTTTGGTTTACTTGTTTGTCCCACTCACATACTGTAAGTACTCCAAAGAACTAAATCATCTTTGATTTCCAAGTTTTATTGCCCAACCACATAATTGTATTTGTTGTCAGTAACACATTAATAACATAAGTGTTGTTGAATGACCAAATCAAACTGTAATGCACTTACAGACACAGGAAACAACACAATGAGAAAGTGTATGTTCATATGGGGCAGGGATATTCAAGAGAACTAAGAATGAGCAAGCAGAGGCATTTCCTCATGGCAATAAAACAATAATTAGTTAAAGCAATATATTTTCAAAATAGGAAACATTTATGTTAATTAAAATAGTGAAGAGGGCCAGGTGCTGTGGCTCATGCCTGTAATCCCAGCACTTTGGGAGGCCGAGGCGGGCGGATCACGAGGTGAGGAGATCGAGACCATCCTGGCTAACATGGTGAAACCCCATCTCTACTAAAAACACAAAAAATTAGCCAGGCAAGGTGGCACGCGCCTATAGTCTCAGCTACTCGGGAGGCTCAGGCAGGAGAATCGCTTGAACCCGGGAGGAGGAGGTTGCAGTGAGCCGAGATCGTGCCATTGCACTCCAGCCTGGCAACAGAGCAAGACTTTGTCTCAAAAAAAAAAAAAAAGGAAAAAAAAAACTAGTGAAGAGATGGAAGGTCTTCAAGTTAAGGATCTGAGGTACACTATAAATATGAGTGTAGAAATCAATTCTTATTTAAAAAACAAAACCAAAAACTCTGTCCCATCTAAATTGATATTATCAGTTGTTAACATACTTGAGATTTTCAGTTAAGTTGTTTTATAATTATGACATATTTAAAAAGCTTTATAATTCATACTTTTATAAATTTATCTAACTTTATTCTTACAACAACTCTGTGAGGTAGCTTACCATATTACTTAAAGGTGAGGAAAATGAAGCTAAGAAAGATAACATGACTTCCCATTGCCACTAAGAAATTAAAAAGCTAAAACTCTAAATCTCATATTCTTTCTATGAAAATTGTACTTTTTCAAAATTTTATGACAAGTTGCTACTACAATTATTGTAGAGTAATGAGCACAAGATAGAAAGCTAAACACAATAAGAACATAAAAAGTCATAAAAGATGCATATTGATATGTTTTGTTTGCATATGTATTGTTTCATTTTTTTCAGAATATCTCTCTAACTTTTTAAGTCTTTTTCAAATCATGCTTACAGATGGCCTTTGCTATAATTTAATTTTTAGGTTATCAGTTTTTATTGGCATTTGGAATTAATACTTACGTGAATATTTGAACTCATGGACCTAAATTTCTAGTGTATTTTTGGTTTGCATACACCTAGGTCCCAAATTTAGAAAAAAATCACAGTCTGTTAACACCGTAAAAATCTATTTTAATTCATCATATTGAAAAAGGTAAATATAAACAACATTGATGAATATAAATTTTTAAATGCAAGTACCTAATCTGAGCTGCAAATATCAAGATAATTGGATGTATTGGAGACCAGCTGGAAGTGCAAAGAATACTTCCCCTTGGTATTGACTCTTCTCTAAATCAATAGCGGTTCCAAATGTAGTAAAAAGCGGACAAGATTTAACAGGTTCTAAATTATTAAGGCCAGTGCATTGTTGCTAGAGAGTTCATTAACAATCTCATCAATACAATGTGGTTCATGGACATTAGTAAGAGCTTTGTGTAACATTTTAAAACAGAATGAGATATCTCAATGGACTGATCTTAGTAAAAAAAATTTAATTAGGTAAGAATAATTACATTAGTTAAATGGAACTTTTAATTGAAAACTTGTTGGCATTTTCTTACCTGCTTCACAGCTGTCCTTTAATCATTTATATTTAAAAAGTGAAGAGTTTCTGTACATGATGTTTGAAAATTATCTAAACATCTTGGACTTTTTGTATAAACGTTTAAAGGAGTTTAGATAATGTGGCAGTAAAAACAAATAGGATTTTCTGCTTGCGGAATGGTACATTTAAAAGATATATATATCAGAAAGAAAAGTTATAGAGAAAATATGTATGGTAAGTATATACTATTCTTGGGAAAAAGGCAAAGTAGTCATTTTCTGAAGCTTTAACATTTATAACTTTAAAACTTCATGTATTGAACATCATTCCTTATGAAGCTTTAAAATCTTACAGGGAAATAATACTGTTTATAAAATTATCTTGTTAAAGAAAATGGTATCCAACAAGAGTTTTTGAAAGAATGAAAGCCCGTATTTGTGTAAGATAAACATAAAGGGCCAATGGAAACTCTTATTGTTAAAATTAGTGTCAGCCACATTTTAGGCTGTATTTACTGGTTGTTGTTCAAAATAAGCTAATTGGCAATCACTATTTTTTGGTAGCTTTCAGCTTAAGCCAGAGAGCACTGGTTTGGAGAGACATAGACATTTATTCAAATTCACAGGAACACTAAACAAATGGATTTGTTAATTATTCATGACATTAATTCTGGCCAAGACAGTTTCTTATCTGAATCTCAGCAACCACTATCACTCAGTGCTGCCTACTTTACTTGATCTTCAGAACATTGCTGAATTTGAATATTCTTCCTAATTCATCAATTTGTCTCTTCCTTTCAGCCCTCATGGGTACTCAATGACACACATGTAGAGACAAAAATCTTTATATATATATGTGTGTATATATATGTATATATATGTGTGTGAGATATATATATACACACACACACATTACTGTATAGTTTATTTATAATAAACTATAAATTCATTTAGAAACAAGACAGAGGCTGTACTCACATTCCCCGCCCCGGTCTGAGCTGCTGACAGATTTGGCTCATTGTATTTCTAGGAGGTAATACATTCTAGCTGTATGGCAAAGTGTGAAGATACAGATTTCTTCATATATATATGGAAACAATATATATATGTGTGTATATGGAAATTATATATGTGTATATATATGGAATATAGATATATATATATGGAGAGAGAGAGAGAGAGATGTGGTCTTACTTTGCCACCCAGGCTGGAGTGCAGTGGCACTATCTTGGCTCACTAAAAATTCATATATTTTTAAAGGTATTTCATCATGCAGTTTCTGAAATTTTCTTTAATGCATTTAATTTGTAATAAAATCTCTCTGGTAGTTCAAAAACATAAGTCATAAGCAGATTTGTGTTTTCACTGTGTAAGAGGAGGCAAAAGGAGGTAAAATGCTGTAATATTGGAGAATGACTTTGGGTAGGAAAGAAAGAATTTTAGTTTTCTTCTTCGAAGAATGAGGAGGCCAGGCTGAGATTTAATGTACATGAGAAGTTTAACAGCAATGAAGGTGAAACAACAAAGAAAAGACCATAATATAAATATTGGCAGGTTTTATTTGTTCAGGCAGTAATTTGCTAGGATATGAACACAGTCAATGGCCTAAGAATAATTACTTTTGATTACCCTTATTAATTTGTATGAAATGTTCATACAATAGTTTGTTAAGCAAGCACACAACATTATAAAGAATTATGGAGAGAGACAGACATATGTAGAATGTAAAGAGTAAATAATTATGCAGAGAAGACAGACAAATAAGGGTTATGGTTATATTACAAAACCGGTATAAAATCAGAGTAAAATGTGGATTTTCTAGTAATATGAATGTTAGCCACAGGATGCCTTAAAATCCACCTGATTCAATCCCCTCCTTTTATAGATGAAGAAACTGAAGACTAGAAAAAATAATAGTCATACTTGTCCAAGTTTACATGCTGTAGTGAAATTATCTGTGCAATAGCAGTCCTTCATTTAATATTAAATACAAGACATTATAATATTTTACCACTCATCTTTATTCTTGAATTCTAAATTTGTCAGTAACTTATATGTACTCAATTTTTTATTTTTTGGCATTCTGAGTTCAACTGAATTGTAGCGTCATGTACATAACACATTGTGTAGGGATCAGGTTATTATATGTTAATTTCCTCCATGCTCCTTTGCCATCTAGAACCTGATCTGCTGTTTTAAACAGCATGAGGCCTGTTCTCCCATTTAGGCTAACAGTGGGTGCAGAAGGGTTGAAGCATTATACTTTCTAAACTGGTTCCTTGTTCTGGAGAGTATCCATCTGAAGAGATTACCGCTCTTCTGGTGATCATCGCCATCATCGTCCAACACCTGCCTATGCACCATGTGCCAGGAATTGTGCGAACTGCTTTAATGTATTATCTCATGCAGTCTGTGTAGTCCACGCAGCTGCTGGTAAAGAACTCTGTTTCAGAGTAATACAAAGAGCCAGCAACAGAGAAAGCATAATGGCAGCTGCAGTGTAACTGGGAGAATTGTCTCTGACAATTGGCTCCCGACTGGGTCTGAGGGCATTTCTTCATCAGTCCCTCAGTTCAGCTAGCAGCCACCGCACACCTGCTCTGTGCTGGGCAGAGTGCTCAGTGCAGTGTGCCAGCTGAATGAGTGAGCACCAGCCTGTTCTCCATGTGTGACCCCCTCCTTCTTGCTCAGAGGGGTGGGCGATTGTCTGTCCCATTTAGGCTTGTGCTGACTGTGCAAGGGAGATCCCAAGGTCAGGATCTACCTCTTTGCCCATCACTGTTAATATCTGTATTATCTAACTAAAGAACTAACATTTGTATTTTTTTTCCTGAAACTATCTGATTTTTAAAGTAATTTTTCAAGCAAGAAAATCTTTAGATCATCATATTTAATTTTCAATGATAAAATGAGGAAACAAGGCAATAGGGATTTTTTTTTATTATTTTCTTTAGTAAAAAGGTCAAGTCAGTGAAAGATCCAGAATTCATAAACTTCTATTCTATTTATTAGACCATGCAGCTCTTTCTGCTATGCACTGTACCTCAAATGGGAATTCAGAAATGAGCAAAATCTGAGATGTAGGAGTTCCAGAATGGATCTGCCACCTGCCAGCTAGCATTCGGATCTCAAAGGGGACCTGCCTGCACTTACTTAATGGAAAGATAAATGTGTTCAAGGAACTGTTACTATAAATTCATTTAGAAACGGGACAGAGGCTTTACTCACATTCCTCTCCAGTCTGAGCTGCTGACAGATTTGGTTCACTGTACCTCTGGGGGGTAATACATTCTAGCTAAATGGCAAAGTGTGATTGTTATTCAGAGCTCCCAAATACCTATTTCTTTTATTGTTTAAATGAACTTTATGGTTGAATTCATCCATTTATTGAAAAGTACTTTTATACACTTACTACAGGCAAGGCAGTGTATGGAATACTATGTGAGGTATTAAAAAGATAGACATTGTTCTTATCCAAAAGATGATTGTGTTATAAAAGGAAAAACAAAAGGCAAGAAAAATATAAACAGTTTTATTAAAACTAGAATGTAAAAGGAAGAAAGAAGATACAAATTAGTGATGTTTAATTTGCTAGGATTCTAGATAGTTCTAGAATAAAATGAAATCAATGGACCATCTTCCAAGAAAAATGGTGAATCACTCTTTAACTTCTAATAGATGTATGAGAGTAAAATGTACACATTATAAACTACACATATTTAAATTACTCTTAAGAGTAATTATATTTAGATATAAATTATTGCATTCAACATTGAAAGCATTTGTAGCCCAGGCCACGAGTGCTAATAAACAACAAGTCTTGAGCAAAGAGTGAAATATTATCACAAATATAACCGTGCTTGGTACAACAGACAGAATAACCTGGAAAATACTAGGTTCTAAGTTCTCCCAGTCAAAATTCAATGGAGGTATCCAAAAGTCATTCCAAAAGAATGACTTCTCACCAGAAGAAAAAAATAAACATTTTTGATGGATTTTTGCTGAGAAAAATTTTTAGTACATCTGAGAAATTTGATATACTAACGTTCTGTTCTGTATTTGTACATAGTTTGGAATTGTTTGTTTCTATTGTCTTCATACTTTTTTCAAAGAAAAGCTATGTTTTAATTTTTGTGTAACTCTTGAAGCACCTATTTTAGACCTTTACAAAGGAAATGTATAATGTGATAGGAATCAGAAACAGAAATAACATATGCATTAAACCTGGACATTGGTAGCTTGGTAATTACTGCTTAGTATCAGATTATTTTGTAAATGAAATCTAAGCACATATAAATATTTTAACTATTCATAGAATCTATTATTTCTGTTTTTTATATTTGGAGATATTTTAATTATATATATAAGATCAAAATATTAATGTCAATTTTTATTTGAAACTTTTTAGAACATCTAATTTCTTAAATTCTTCAATTATTTAAAAATATGTAGTGAATTTTTCCAAAGTATAAGGAAAATGTAAGCATACATAGATTTTACTGTTTTTTTTAATACCTTAAAGACTCATCAGTCATGAGGTTAGTTGATGGATGGAATAGTACTGAGTGACTAAGCCTATTTCTGTGGCAATGGCTCAGCCATAGAAATTAGCATTTGTCACTCTTCTGCCTGTTTGTCTGTTACACATTCCATTCTTAAAAGTAATTTGACTAGGTATAAGATACACCAAGCAATAAGCTAGTAAGAAGGTTAATGAATATTTAAATATATTTGCAGACATTTCTTATGTTCTTTTCAAGCCAGCCATTTGGAAAGATCACTATAGTTTTACTAAAATGTGTAGGACAATATTGCACAATTTTAAAGGTTTGCAAAACAAAACAAGTTTTTGGCTGAAAAACATTTTTTGTAGGTTAACTAACTTATTTTGGAAATAAAAATAGCTTCAATCTAGTCTGAAGTAAGCTCTGAAAGGCAGCCCACATTCCAGTTGACAGGCGTCTGAACTAGCAGTGAAGCAGGTAGGGCTGCATTTAGCTGTCACATTAGCCCTGTCTGGCTGGTACCTACCTAATTTGAGCTTCTTTCTGCTGCACTATACCCTCAGAGGGAACAGATATTCTCTTCTAGCTTTCCATTAAGTGTGGCCCATATATATGGGGGTATGTGTGTGTATGTATAATATATAATGTATATAATCCATATGCATATATACACATATATAATTATGCTTGGAGAGATAAATCTCTCTCTCTATATATATATAAAATTGTAGTTGAAAGAGAGAAAATAGAACAGATTATCTTATCTTCATTATTGATTTACTCCCAACCCCTGCTTAGCTTTTGTCTTGCCTTTGTAGTTTAGGATGTAAATGACCACAGATTTATCTAACTATCTCATATGGATTTTAATAACCAAATTGTACTGATATTTTTAGTTTACTTGGTTAAATTAGAGTTATGTTGAACCCTGAAGCATTCTTTAGAGGTAGCTATAATGTATAAGAAAAAGACAAGATTTGACTTAGGGACTACAATAACTTTTATTGGAATCCCAGCTCAGAGATGTATTCTCCATGGTCCGTGGAACCATACTAGCCTGGTATTCGTAAGACACCCCCTAAACTGTGAGATCTTCTCCCACTAGTTTCCCCTCCTTTGCCCATCATAGTTTCAGTGGGAATATGGCCTAGGGGAGGCAGGGATTATAATTGTTTAGACAGTGATTCTAAGGGTTAGGATTTGCCCGAATCTTATTTCTGCCAATCTTTCATGAGACCTCGAAATAATTACTTTAACCTTCCTATCTTCAGTTTCCTGCTCTCAAAAATGTTTGTAGTAATATCATTTAGAACATACGGTCTTTGTGAGAATTAAATGAGATAATGCATGTAAAGAAATCAGCACAGTTCTGTGGCACAGAGTTAAGGACTCAATATAACTTGAATTAAAATAATTATTGTTTTGTAATAATAATATTATAAAAATGATAATATAATTTAACCTGTGTTTCCCCTCCACTTCTCTCTTCCTCTGTTCCACCCCTCTCTTCTTTTCTCCTGTTTTCTTCCATTAAGAAAAGAGTCAAGGCAAGGAATTATAGAGTCAATAAGAGAGGATGAAGATTTAGCAAAAGCAGATAAATCAATCTCTAAATTTGGGTGTAAGAGACGCCTCTTAGGCCCCAGCGTGAAAGATACACTAGGGCCTTTGCCCTTTGAAAACCTCCCGAGCAGCAACTGGATAGAAGCAAACTAGAATGTTGAAGAGGGCTTTAAAAAGTGTTATATTGCTAGGGGTTATAAGAATGTCCTTTGACACTCATGAAATAAAGACTAAAATTGCTGCTTTTTAAACTTATTTTGTCCTCTGAACTAATGTTTGCATCCTGCTCAGTTCAGGATTTGTTAGAATTATATGATTCTATAATTTCTTTTTGTAATCTAATTTGTATTTGTTTATTTTGTTTTTTTCTATTTACTTTATATGTTATTTTTTCAGTTATCTTTTTCTAGGCATTGTTGGGCCTCTATGTAATTCCATACTTATATTTTATACAATCATTTATAGGTACTTCTTTCTTATCCTTATAGTGATCAGATTTCACTAATAATTGGTCACAATCAGTGACATTATGAACCTCTGAAAGGAGTGTGGTGGCTCCTTCCAGGACAACGACTGGAAATGTGGGTTCCTAACTTGACCATTCCTGTCCATACTTGATGATTTAAATTATTTGTTTTACCTCAATGTTCCTTGGGACAAATAATGTTTAAGCTTGATAACCTTTGATTTGTAGAGATATGTATTTGGGGGTATACTATCAATTTAGTGTTGCCTACAAGAGTGCTTAATATTTTTAGAAAATTCTATTCACCAGTCACCATAATGTGTTCTGGCTCCTGTAGTAGATACATACATATACACATATGCATACATACACACATACCCCTCTGGTATATACATACATACATATACATACATACATTATGTATATGTGTGCGTGCATGATATATGTTTGTATATGTGTGTATGTATATTTACCTTTTCTGTTTCTAAATTTTTAAATATTTTAATAATATAGTTTCCTGGATTTATGCTATCTTATCCTTCATATGTTCAGAAATCTATTTTTTTCATGAAATTGTTCCTAGTTAATATTAGTAACTTTTTAACCCACCTATTATTGAACCATATTCATACATTAGTTTTTTTTTTTCTAAAATAAACAACAGAAATTTATTTCTCACAATTCTGGAGGTTGAAAGTCTGAGATCAAAGTGCCAGTATGGGTTCTGATGAAAGCCCTCTCCTAGGTTTTGGACACCCAACTTCTCGTTCCATCTTCCTATGACAGAAAGAGGGCTAGAGAGTTCTCTGGAGTCCCCTTTATTTTATTTTATTGATTCTTAATGTATGTACATATTTATGGAGTACATGTGATCATTTGTTACATCCATAGCATTTGTAATGATCAAGTCAGGCTATTTAGGATATTCACTACTTCTAGCATGATCGAGTCACGGTATTTGGGATATTCACTATGTCTAGCATTTACTATTTCTCTGTGATGGAAACATTGCAATCCTCTCTTCTAGCTATTTTAAAATATACAATAAATTGTTGTTAACTCTAGTTACCCTACTCTGCTATCAAATATTAGAACTTATTTCTTCTATCTAACTGTAAGTTTGTAAACATTAACCAACTTCTCCTCGTCTGTCCTTCTCATACTCAGGTTCCCTTCCAAGTTTTCAGTAGCTATCATTCTCCTCTCTACTTCCATGAGACCAACCTTTCCATAGCCCCTACACAGGAGTGAGAACATGTGATCTTACTTTCTGCGCCTCACTTATTTCACTTACCATAATGACCTCCAATTCCATCCATGTTGCTGCAAATGACATGATTTCATTTCTTTTTCATGGTCAAATGATGTTCTATTGTGTATATATCCTACATTTTCTTTACCTATTCATGTGCTGATGAACACTTAGGTTGATTCCATATTTTGGCTATTGCAAATAGTGTTAAATAAACATAGGAGTGCATGTATCCCTTTGATATACTGATTTCCTTTCCTTTGGATACATACCCAGTAGTGAGATTGCTAGATCACATGGTAGTTCTATTTTTAGTTTATTGAGTGAGCACCATGCTATTTTCCATAATGGCTGTACTAATTTACATTCCCAGTGATATGGTTTAGCTTTGTGTCCCCACTCAAATCTCTTTTTTTTTTTTTTTTTTTGAGATGGAGTCTCACTGTCGCCCAGGCTGGAGTGCAGTGGTGCGATCTCAGCTCACTGCAAGCTCCGCCTCCCGGGTTCACACCATTCTCCTGCCTCAGCTTCCTGAGTAGGTGGGACTACAGGCACCCGCCACCATGCCCGGCTAATTTTTTTTGTATTTTTAGTAGAGATGGGGTTTCACTGTGTTAGCCAGGATGGTCTCGATCTCCTGACCTTGTGATCCACCCGCCTCGGCCTCTCAAAGTGCTGGGATTACAGGCGTGAGGCAGTGCACCCGGCCTCAAATCTCATTTTGAATTTTAATTCCCACATGACAAAGGAGGGACCTAGTGGGAGATAATTAGATCATGGGGATGGTTTCACCCATGTTGTTCTCATGATAGTGAGGGAGTTCTCATGAGATCTGATGATTTTCAAAGTGACAGTTTCCCATTTGCATGCTCTCTCTCTCTCTCTTGCCACCATGTAAGACATATCTTGCTTCCCCTTTGCCTTCTGCCATGATTGTAAGTTTCCTGAGGCCTCTCCAGTCATGCGGAACTGTGAGTCAATTAAATCTCTTTTGTTTCTAAATTACCCAGTCTCAGGTAGTGTCCTTATAGCAGTGTGAAAAATGGACTAATAAAGAGAATTGGTACTGAAAGTGGGGTAATGCTATAAAGATAACCTGAAAATGTGAAAGTGACTTTGGAACTGGGTAACAGGCAAAGGTTGTAACAGTTTGGAGAGCTTCAAAGTACACAGGAAAGTGGGGAAAAGTTTGGAACTTCCTAGAGACTTGTTGAATGGCTTTGACCAAAATGTTGATAGTGATGTGGACAATGAAGTACAGGTTGAGGTGGTCTCAGATGCAGATGAAGAACTTGCTGGGAACTGGAGTATAGGTCTGTCTTGCTAGGCTTTAGCAAAGAGACTGCTTGCATTTTGCCCCTGCCCTCTGTGGAACTTTGAACTTGAGATAGATTATTTAGGGTATCTGGTGGGAAAAAATGTCTAAGCAGCAAAACATTCAAGATGTAACCTGGCTTATTCTGAAAGCATTCAGTTATATACATTCACAAATAGATGGTTTGAAATTGGATCTTATGTTTAAAAATGGAAGCAGAGCATAAAGGTTTGGGAAATTTGCAACTTGACCATGTGGTAGAAAAGAAAAACCCGTCTTCTGGGGAGGAATTCAAGCCAGCTGCAGAAATTTGCATAAGTAACGAGGAGCGGAATGTTACTAGCCAAGAAAATGGGGAAAATGTCTCTAAGGCATATCAGAGACCTTCACAGCAGCTCCTTCCATCACAGGCCCAGAGGCCTAGGAGGGAAAAATTGGCTTCATGGGCCAGGCCCAGGGCCCTGCTACTCTATGCAGCTTTGGGACTTGGTGCCCTATGTCCAGCTACTCCAGTTCCAGCTCCAGCAGTGGCTAAAAGCAGCCAAGGTACAGCTCGGGCTGTTGCTGGGAACATTTACCCAATGCCTGTACCTGCATTGTATCTTGGAAGTAACTAACATGCTTATGATTTTACAGGCTTATTGGCGGAAGGGACTTGCCTTGTCTCAGAGGAGACTTTGGACTTGGATTTTTAGGTTAATGCTGGAATGAGTTAAGACTTTGAGGGACTGTGGGGAAGGCATGATTGGTTTTGAAAGGTGAAAAGTACATGAGATTTGTGAGGGACCAGGATTGGAATGTTATGGCTTGGCTCTGTGTTCCCACCCAAATCTCATCTCAAATTGTAATCACCATGTTTCAAGGGAGAGACCTGGTGGGAGGTGATTGGATCACGGTGTTCTCATGATAGTGAGGGAATTCTCATGAGATCTGATGGTTTTATAAGTGGCAGTTTTCCCTGCTATCCCTCTCTCTCTCTCCTGCTACCATGTAAGACATACCTTTCTTCCCCTTTGCCTTCTGCCATGATTTTAAGTTTCCTGAGGCCTCTCTAGCCATGCAGAACTGATTCAATTAAACCTCTTTTGTTTATAAATTACCCAGTCTCAGGTAGTATCTTTATAGCAGTGTGAAAACAGACTAATACACTCAGCAGCAGTGTATAAGAGTTCCTTTTTCTCCATGTTTTTGGTTTGCATTTGTTATTGTCTTTTTGTTTAAGAACTATTCAAACTCGGGTTAGATGATATTTCATTGTGGTTTTGACTTGCATTTCCCTGATGATTAGTGATAATGAGTGTTTTTTATATATCTGTTGTCTGTTTTTATGTCTTTTTAGAGAAATGTCTGTTCACATCCTCTGCCCACTTTTTAATGGGATTTTTTATTTATTTATTTTTTTTACTGTTGAGTTGTTTGAGCTTCTTTTATATTCTGAATATTGATCCCATGTGAGACAAATAGCTTGCAAATATTTTCTACCATTCAACAGGTTATCTCTTCACTCTGTTGGTTGTTTGCTTTGCTGTGCAGAATCTTTTTATGTCCCATATGGCTTTTTGTGTCCCATATGTCTATTTTTTGTTAATTGCCTATGCTTTTGGGTCCTTAGCCATAGAGTATTTGCCTAGACCAATGTCCTAGAGTGTTAGTCTGTGTTTCCTTCTAGTAGTTTTATACTTTCAGAACTTATATTTAAGACTTTAATTCATTTTGCAATATTTTTTGTATATGATGAGAGATAGGAGTCTAGTTTCATTCTTTTGCCTATGGGTATCCAGTTTTTTTCAGTACCATTTATTGAAGAACCTATTCTGTTTCCGACGTATATTCTTGGCTCCTTTTCAAAAATCAGTAGACTATAAATATATGGATTTATTTCTGGATTGCCCATTTTGTTTCATTGGTCTATGTGTCTGTTTTTATACCAATACCATGCTGTTTTAGTTATTATAGCCTTGTAACACATTTTAAGGTCAGGTATTGTGATGCCTTCAGCTTTTTTTCTTTTTGCTCAGGATTGCTTTGGTTATTCAGGCTGTTTTGGTTCCATATGAATTTTAGAAGTTTTTTTTCTTTTCTATTTCTGTGAAGAATGTCATGATATATTGGTGGTAATTGTGTTGAATCTGTAGATTGTTTTGGGTAGTATGGCCATTTTTACAACATTAATCCTTCCTATACATGAGCATGGTCTTTTCATCTGCCTGTGTCCTCTTCAATTTCTTTAATCAATTTTTTGTAGGTTTCATTGTAGAGTTCCTCATCTCCTTAGTTAAATTTATTCCTAAGGTTTTTTACTTTTTGTTGGTAGTGTAAATGAGATTACCTTCTTGATAGTTTGGCTGATTAGTTATTTGTGTATAAAAACATGGCTGATTTTTGTTTGTTGATTTTGTGTTCTACAACTTTACTGAATTTGCCAAATAGAGTTTTTGGTGGAGTCTTTAGGTTTTTTAAAACATAAGATCATGTCACCTGCAAAAGGGACAATTTGACTTTTTTTTTTTCCAGTTTCAGTGTCCTTTCTTTCTGTTGTCTGATTGCTCTGAGTAGGACTTTCAGTACTTTGTTGAATAGGAGTTGTAAAAGTGGGCATCATTGTCTGGTTCAAGTTTTTAGAGGAAAGGATTTCAGCTTTTTCCCATACATTATGTTATTTGTAGGTGTGTCATATATGGCCTGTGTTATACTGAGGCATGTTCCTTTTATGCTTAGTCTGTTGAGTTTATATTATGAAGGAATGTTGAATTTTATCAAATGTTTTTCTGTGTCTGTTGAGATCACATGATTTTTACCCTTTATTCTATTGGTGTGATGTATTACATTTATTGTTTTATGCAGGTTGAACCATCCTTGAGCTCCTGGAATAAATTCCACTTGATCATGTTGTAGTACCTTTTGGATGTTCTGTTGAATTTAGCTTGCTACTGTTTTGTTGAGGATTTTTACATCTATGTTCACCAGGGATGTTTGCCTGTGAACATAGATACAAAACATAGATGTTCACCAGTTGTTGTTGCTGTTGTGTCCTTGTCTGCTTTTGGTATCATAATACTGACCTCATAAAATGAGTTAGGAAGAATTATCTCCTCTTGCTTTTTAACAGGTAGTTTGAGTAGAATTGGTATTAATTATTTTTTAAAAGTTAGGTAGAATATGGCAGTGAAGTCATCTGATACTGGGCTTTTCTTTGGTGGAAGCCATTTTATTATTGATTCAATTTTGTTACTCTTATTAGCCTGTTCAGTTTTTCTACTTCTTTCTAATTCAATGTTGGTAGTAGGTTGTATGTGTCTAAAAATTTATCCATTTCCTATAAATTTTTGAGTTTGTTAGTACATAGTTTTTCATAACAGTCTTTTAGGATTTTTTTGTATTTCAGTGTTATCTATTGTAATGTCCATTTTTTACCTTCTGATTTTGTTTATTTGGGTCTTTCATCTTTTTTTTCTTAGTTTAACTAGAAGTTTGTCAATTTTTTTTAAAGACTTTTCATTTCAATAATCCTTTGTATTATTTTTTAAGTCTCTATTTCATTTATTTCAGTTCTGATCTTTATTATTTTTTTCTTCTACTAATACTAGGTTTGATTTGTTCTTACTTTTCTAGTTCTTGAGGTGCATCATTAGGTTATTTAAAATCTTTATATTTTCTTGATGTAGATACATATTGCTATAAACTTCCCTCTTAACACTGCTTTTCCTGTATCCGGTGTGTTTTGATGTGTTGTGTTTCCATTTTTATTTGTTTCAAGAAACTTTTAGATTTTCTGCTTAATTTACTCCATGACCTAATGGTCATTCAAGAGTATGCTGTTTAGTGTCCATATATTTGTAGAGTTTCAAAAATTCTTCTTGTTATTGATTTCTATTTTTTTGTTTATTGTGGTCTGATAAGATATTTGACTTTTGCACCTTTTCAACTTTTAAAAGTTTGTTGAAACATTTTGTGGCCTTACATTGTTTTTCCTGGACTGTTTTGTGTGCTGATGAGAAGAATGTATATTCTGCAGTTGTTGGATGAAAGGTTCTGTAAATGTCTGTTAAGTCCCTTTGGCTAAACTGCAGTTTTAATCTGATGTTTGTTGATTTTCTACCTAGATGAGCTGTTAAATGTTGAGAGTGGATATTAAAGTCCTTAACTATTTCTGTATTGTAGTCTGTCTGTCTCTTTAGATCAAATAAAATTTGTTTTATATATTTAGGTGCCCTGCTGATGGGTGCATAAATATTTAGAAATGTCCTCTTGCTGAATTGATCCCTTTGTCATTATATAATGACCTGGTTTGTCTCTTTGTACTGTTTTTTGACTTAAAGTTTGTTTTATTTGATATAAGTATAGCTATTCCAGCTCACTTTTGGCTTTCATTTGCATAGAATATCTTTTTTTCATTCCTTTACTTTCTGTCTATATGTGTCTTTACGAGTGAGATGAATTTCTTTCTTTTTTTTTATTATTATACTTTAAGTTTTAGGGTACATGTGCACAATGTGCAGGTTAGTTACATATGTATACATGTGCCATGCTGGTGTGCTGCACCCATTAACTCGTCATTTAGCATTAGGTATATCTCCTAATGCTATCCCTCCCCCCTGCCCCCACCCCACAATAGTACCCAGAGTGTGATGTTCCCCTTCCTCTGTCCATGTGTTCTCATTGTTCAATTCCCATCTATGAGTGAGAACATGCAGTGTTTGGTTTTTTGTCCTTGCAATAGTTTACTGAGAGTGATGATTTCCAATTTCATCCATGTCCCTACAAAGGACATGAACTCATCATTTTTTTATGGCTGCATAGTATTCCATGGTGTATATGTGCCACATTTTCTTAATCGGGTCTATCATTGTTGGACATTTGGGTTGGATCCAAGTCTTTGCTATTGTGAATAGTGCTGCAATAAACATACATGTGCATGTGTCTTTATAGCAGCATGATTTATAGTCCTTTGGGCATATACCCAGTAATGGGATGGCTGGGTCAAATGGTATTTCTAGTTCTAGGTCCCTGAGGAATCGCCACACTGACTTCCACAATGGTTGAACTAGTTTACAGTCCCACCAACAGTGTAAAAGTGTTCCTATTTCTCCACATCCTCTCCAGCACCTGTTGTTTCCTGACTGTTTAATGATTGCCATTCTAACTGGTGTGAGATGGTATCTCATTGTGATTTTGATTTGCATATCTCTGATGGCCAGTGATGATGAGCTTTTTTTCATGTGTCTTTTGCTGCATAAATGTCTTTTTTTGAGAAGTGTGTGTTCATATCCTTCGCCCACTTTTTGATGGGGTTGTTTTTTTCTTGTCAATTTGTTTGAGTTCATTGTAGATTCTGGATATTAGCCCTTTGTCAGATGAGTAGGTTGCGAAAATTTTCTCCCATTTTGTAGGTTGCCTGTTCACTCTGATAGTAGTTTCTTTTGCTGTGCAGAAGCTGTTTAGTTTAATTAGATCCCATTTGTCAATTTTGGCTTTTGTTGCCATTGCTTTTGGTGTTTTAGACCTGAAGTCCTTGCCCATGCCTATGTCCTGAATGGCAATGCCTAGATTTTCTTTTGGGTTTTTATGGTTTCAGGTCTAACATTTAAGTCTTTAATCCATCTTGAATTAATTTTTGTATAAGGTGTAAGGAAGGGATCCAGTTTCAGCTTTCTACATATGGCTAGCCAATTTTCCCAGCACCATTTATTAAATAGGGAATCCTTTCCCCATTGCTTGTTTTTCTCAGGTTTGTCAAAGATCAGATAGTTGTAGATACATGGCGTTATTTCTGAGGGCTCTGTTCTGTTCCATTGATCTGTATCTCTGTTTTGGTACCAGTACCATGCTGTTTTGGTTACTGTAGACTTGTAGTATAGTTTGAAGTCAGGTAATGTGATGCCTCCAGCTTTGTTCTTTTGGCTTAGGATTGACTTGGCGATGCGGGCTCTTTTTTGGTGCCGTATGAACTTTAAAGTAGTTTTTTCCAATTCTGTGAAGAAAGTCATTGGTAGATTGATGGGAATGGCATTGAATCTATAAATTACCTTGGGCATTATGGCCATTTTCATGATATTGATTCTTCCTACCCATGAGCATGGAATGTTCTTCCAT
Organism: Homo sapiens; assembly: GCF_000001405.40. Classification (NCBI taxonomy): domain Eukaryota; kingdom Metazoa; phylum Chordata; class Mammalia; order Primates; family Hominidae; genus Homo; species Homo sapiens. The sequence goes on from NC_000006.12 coordinate 101,789,857, forward strand.
TTATTTGTATCCTCTTTTATTTCATTGAGCAGTGGTTTGTAGTTCTCCTTGAAGAGGTCCTTCACGTCCCTTGTAAGTTGGATTCCTAAGTATTTTATTCTCTTTGAAGCAATTGTGAATGGGAGTTCACTCATGATTTGGCTCTCTGTTTGTTTGTTATTGGTGTATAAGAATGCTTGTGATTTTTGTACATTGATTTTGTATGCTGAGACTTTGCTGAAGTTGCTTAACAGCTTAAGGAGATATCGGGCTGAGACAATGGGGTTTTCTAGATATACAATCATGTCATCTGCAAACAAGGACAATTTGACTTCCTCTTTTCCTAATTGAATACCCTTTATTTCCTTCTCCTGCCTAATTGCCCTGGCCAGACCTTCCAACACTATATTGAATAGGAGTGGTGAGAGAGGGCATCCCTGTCTTGTGCCAGTTTTCAAAGGGAATGCTTCCAGTTTTTGCCCATTCAGTATGATATTGGCTGTGGGTTTGTCATAGATAGCTCTTAATATTTTGAGATACGTCACATCAATTCCTAATTTATTGAGAATTTTTAGCATGAAGGGTTGTTGAATTTTGTCAAAGGCTTTTTCTGCATCTATTGAGATAATCATGTGGTTTTTGTCTTTGGCTCTGTTTATATGCTGGATTACATTTATTGATTTGCGTATATTGAACCAGCCTTGCATCCCAGGGATGAAGCCCACTTGATCATGGTGGATAAGCTTTTTGATGTGCTGCTGGATTCGGTTTGCCAGTATTTTATTGAGGATTTTTGCATCAATGTTCATCAAGGATATTGGTCTAAAATTCTCTTTTTTGGTTGTGTCTCTGCCCGGCTTTGGTATCAGGATGATGCGGGCCTCATAAAATGAGTTAGGGAGGATTCCCTCTTTTTCTATTGATTGGAATAGTTTCAGAAGGAATGGTACCAGTTCCTCCTTTTACCTCTGGTAGAATTCGGCTGTGAATCCATCTGGTCCTGGACTCTTTTTGGTTGGTAAGCTATTGATTATTGCCACAATTTCAGCTCCTGTTATTGGTCTATTCAGAGATTCAACTTCTTCCTGGTTTAGTCTTGGGAGGGTGTATATGTCGAGGAATTTATCCATTTCTTCTAGATTTTCTAGTTTATTTGCATAGAGGTGTTTGTAGTATTCTCTGATGGTAGTTTGTATTTCTGTGGGATCGGTGGTGATATCCCTTTTATCATTTTTTATTGCGTCTATTTGATTCTTCTCTCTTTTTTTCTTTATTAGTCTTGCTAGCAGTCTATCAATTTTGTTGATCCTTTCAAAAAACCAGCTCCTGGATTCATTAATTTGTTGAAGGGTTTTTTGTGTGTCTATTTCCTTCAGTTCTGCTCTGATTTTAGTTGTTTCTTGCCTTCTGCTAGCTTTTGAATGTGTTTGCTCTTGCTTTTCTGGTTCTTTTAATTGTGATGTTAGGGTGTCAATTTTGGATCTTTCCTGCTTTCTCTTGTGGGCATTTAGTGCTATAAATTTCCCTCTACACACTGCTTTGAATGTGTCCCAGCGATTCTGGTATGTTGTGTTTTTGTTCTCATTGGTGTCAAAGAAGATCTTTATTTCTGCCTTCATTTCGTTATGTACCCAGTAGTCATTCAGGAGCAGGTTGTTCAGTTTCCATGTAGTTGTGCGGTTTTGAGTGAGTTTCTTAATCCTGAGTTCTAGTTTGATTGCACTGTGGTCTGAGAGACAGTTTGTTATAATTTCTTTTTTTTTACATTTGCTGAGGAGAGCTTTACTTCCCAGTATGTGGTCAATTTTGGAATAGGTGTGGTGTGGTGCTGAAAAAATGTATATTCTGTTGATTTGGGGTGGAGAGTTCTGTAGATGGCTATTAGGTCCGCTTGGTGCAGAGCTGAGTTCAATTCCTGGGTATCCTTGTTAACTTTCTGTCTCGTTGATCTGTCTAATGTTGACAGTGTGGTGTTAAAGTCTCCCATTATTATTGTGTGGGAGTCTAAGTCTCTTTTTAGGTCACTCAGGACTTGCTTTATGAATCTGGGTGCTCCTGTATTGGGTGCATATATATTTAGGATAGTTATCTCTTCTTGTTGAATTGATCCCTTTACCATTATGTAATGGCCTTCTTTGTCTCTTTTGATCTTTGTTGGTTTAAAGTCTGTTTTATCAGAGACTAGGATTGCAACCCCTGCCTTTTTTTGTTTTCCATTTGCTTGGTCGATCTTCCTCCATCCTTTTATTTTGAGCCTATGTGTGTCTCTGCACGTGAGATGGGTTTCCTGAATACAGCACACTGATGGGTCTTGACTCTTTATCCAATTTGCCAGTCTGTGTCTTTTAATTGGAGCATTTAGCCCATTTACATTTAAAGTTAATATTGTTATGTGTGAATTTGATCCTGTCATTATGATGATAGCTGGTTATTTTGCTCATTAGTTGATGCAGTTTCTTCCTAGTCTCGATGGTCTTTACGTTTTGGCATGATTTTGCAGTGGCTGGTCCTGGTTGTTCCTTTGCATGTTTAGTGCTTCCTTCAGGAGCTCTTTTAGAGCAGGCCTGGTGGTGACAAAATCTCTCAGCATTTGCTTGTCTGTAAAGTATTTTATTTCTCCTTCACTTATGAAGCTTAGTTTGGCTGGATATGAAATTCTGGGTTGAAAATTCTTTTCTTTAAGAATGTTGAATATTGGCCCCCACTCTCTTCTGGCTTGTAGAGTTTCTGCCGAGAGATCCGCTGTTAGTCTGATGGGCTTCCCTTTGAGGGTAACCCGACCTTTCTCTCTGGCTGCCGTTAACATTTTTTCCTTCATTTCAACTTTGGTAAATCTGACAATTATGTGTCTTGGAGTTGCTCTTCTCGAGGAGTATCTTTGTGGTGTTCTCTGTATTTCCTGAATCTGAATGTTGGCCTGCCTTGCTAGGTTGGGGAAGTTCTCCTGGATAATATCCTGCAGAGTTTTTTCCAACTTGGTTCCATTCTCCCCGTCTCTTTCAGGTACACCAATCAGATGTAGATTTGGTCTTTTCACATAGTCCCATATTTCTTGGAGGCTTTGTTCATTTCTTTTTATTCTTTTTTCTCTAAACTTCCCTTCTCGCTTCATTTCATTCATTTCATCTTCCATCACTGATACCCTTTCTTCCAGTTGATCGCATCGGCTCCTGAGGCTTCTGCATTCTTCACGCAGTTCTCGAGCCTTGGCTTTCACCTCCGTCAGCTCCTTTAAGCACTTCTCTGTATTGTTTATTCTATTTATACATTCGTCTAAATTTTTTTCAAAGTTTTCAACTGCTTTGCCTTTGGTTTGAATTTCCTCCTGTAGCTCGGAGTAGTTTGATCATCTGAAGCCTTCTTCTCTCAACTTGTCAACGTCATTCTCCATCCAGCTTTGTTCTGTTGCTGGTGAGGAACTGCGTTCCTTTGGAGGAGGAGAGGTGCTCTGCTTTTTAGAGTTTCCAGTTTTTCTGCTCTGTTTTTTCCCCATCTTTGTGGTATTATCTACTTTTGGTCTTTGATGATGGTGATGTACAGATGGGTTTTGGTGTGGATGTCCTTTCTGTTTGTTAGTTTTCCTTCTAACAGACAGGACCCTCAGCTGCAGGTCTGTTGGAGTTTGCTAGAGGACCACTCCAGACCCTGTTTGCCTGGGTATCAGCAGCAGTGTCTGCAGAACTGCAGATTTTCTTGTACCGCGAATGCTGCTGTCTGATCGTTCCTCTGGAAGTTTTGTCTCAGAGGAGTATCTCGCCATGTGAGGTGTCAGTCTGCCCCTACTGGGGGGTGCCTCCCAGTTAGGCTGCTCGGGGGTCAGGGGTCAGGGACCCAGTTGAGGAGGCAGTCTGCCCGTTCTCAGATCTCCAGCTGCCTGCTGGGAGAACCACTGCTCTCTTCAAAGCTGTCAGACAGGGACATTGAAGTCTGCAGAGGTTACTGCTGTCTTTTTGTTTGTCTGTGCCCTGCCCCCAGAGGTGGAGCCTACAGAGGCAGGCAGACCTCCTTGAGCTGTGGTGGGCTCCACCCAGTTCAAGCTTCCTGGCTGCTTTGTTTACCTAAGTGAGCCTGGGCAATGGTGGGCGCCCCTCTCCCAGCCTCCCTGCCGCGTTGCAGTTTGATCTCAGACTTCTGTGCTAGCAATCAGCGAGACTCCATGGGCGTAGGACCCTCCGAGCCAGGTGCAGGATATAATCTCCTGGTGCGCCATTTCCTAAGCCCGTCAGAAAAGCGCAGTATTCGGGTGGGAGTGACCTGGTTTTCCAGGTGCTGTCTGTCACCCCTTTCCTTGACCAGGAAAGGGAACTCCCTGACCCCTTGCGCTTCCTGAGTGAGGCAATGCCTCGCCCTGCTTCGGCTCGCGCACAGTGCACTGCACTGCTGTTCTGTGCCCACTGTCTGGCACTCCCTAGTGAGATGAACCCGGTACCTCAGATGGAAATGCAGAAATCACCCCTCTTCTGCGTCGCTCACGCTGGGAGCTGTAGACCGGAGCTGTTCCTATTCGGTCATCTTGGCTTCTCCCCGAGATGAATTTCTTGTAGGCAGTATATAGTTGGGTCATTAAAAAAATCCATTCAGCTAGTCATATCTTTCAAATGAACACCTTATTGTGTTTATATCAAAGGTTATTATTCTTTAATTGTTTTTGTTTGTTTTGTATATCGTTTGTTCCCTTCTTTCTCTCTTATTGTTTATCATTGCGGTTTAGTGGTTTTCTGTAGTGGTTCCAGAATTTGTTTGGTTCTTTTATATGATGTCTATCTCTTTATGGAACTTTTCATTAATATCCTGATTTTTTTTTCTTTGTATTGTTTTTCTGTGTTCTCTGTGTCTCATTGAGCTTCTTTGCTATAATTATTTTGAATCTTTTTTCAGGCATTTCATAGATCTATTTTTCACTGAATATTTTGCTGAATAATTATTGTGCTCCTTTAGAGGTGTCATACTTCCTGGATTTTTTATTTCTTGTGTCCTTTTCTGTCCTTATGTTGATATCTACACATTTTGTGTAATAGTTGCTTGTTTCAATTTTTTTTTTTTTTTTTGAGACGGAGTCTCACTTTGTCACCCAGTCTGGAATGCAGTGGCGCCATCTTGGCTGACTGCAACTTCTGCCTCCCGGGTTCAAGCCATTCTCCTGCCTTAGCCTCACAAGTAGCTGGAATTACAGGCCCACAGCTACCATGACCCACTAACTTTTGTATTTTTAGTAGAGACCAGGTTTCATCATGTTGTTTAGGCTGGCCTCAAACTCCTGACTTCAGGTGATCCATCCACCTCGGCCTCCCAAAGTGTTGGAATTACAGATGTGAGCCACCATACCCGGCCAGCTTTTTTCAATTTTTTTGGATGGATTTTCATAAGGGAAAATTTTTCCTATGGATTTATCTATGGTATTGGTTGAGGGGGCACTTTCGCTTTGATTATAGGGTTAGCAGTAGCATAGTCCTCATATGATTTTTACAGCATCAGTGGTGTCTGTGATTTCCGTTTCTTAGACTGTGATTATTAGTGGAGACTGTGTTGAAATTTTACTGGGTGTAGGAGTGCCAGGTAGTTCAGTCCTGAGGCCCAGTGGTGTTATCAGTGGGCTAAGTGTGCCTGTCTTTAGGCTCCTGTGTGGCATACAAGGGCACGTGTGTTAGTGGGCTCAGGTGGGCCAATTGTTGGGCCTCCAGGAAGCTTGCTTCGGTTCAGTAGTGGCAGCAGTGGGCATGTGTGTGGTGAATTCCTGGGCCCCTAAGCAGTATGCATGGCATGAGAAATAGCAGTAGTGATGGTGGGACCACCCTTGGACTCTCAGGCATCACATACTGGTGTTTGCAGTGCCTGCAACAGGCTGGATGGACCAGCCCTCAGGAGAAGTGCACGGACACCAGCAGTGGTGAACAAGGCAGGGCTGTTCTCAGGTCCCTGGGTGGCATGCTTGGGTACTTGGGGGATAGTGCCAGGGGTGTGGGCCTGCCCTTAGTGTCCCCTGATGGGTGCATGGGAATAGGCTGTGGTGAATAGGACAGGGCAATCTCCATGCCCCAGGTATAACAATGTATTTCTTTTTTACAAATATGCATTTACCAGTTTTCTATAATCTCTACCTTTTCTTATTTTGCAGTGCATTTTCATTATGTATTTATGAAAAAATTATATAGAGATTTATGCATTCAAGTGCTTGTTGACATTTGTTACATTGTGTAACTACAAAACCACCTTCACTACTTTGCTTATTAACCATAGAGTGTTGAGTGAGAAACCCAGAGAAAAGGATATAAACTTTGGACAGATTATATGGATTAAATCCAGCTCTACGTCTATATGCTATGGTTTGTTTTTTGAGTTACTTAGCTGCTGTCTGCCTTGGTTTCCTATTTGACACATACTTGATGGGATTGCACCTGAATAATGGTTATGGAAATTAAAGGAATTAATTTAAGGAGAGTGCCTCACACACAGATATTGAATGAATGTTGGCTATTAATATTATTAATAGAAGACAGATTTTCACATATTTGTGAGAATAAGAGAAGGCACATTTTTGTGAGCATTCTTGTGAGAATAAGAGAAACCACATTTCTGAAGCACTAGAATTTTCACACGGTTTTTCAAAGGAAGGAGATTTATAGACACACAATTTTACAAAGAAGACAATAGTTTAATCTGACAAGATATTAAATATAAATAGAAAAATCTACATAATATCACCAAAACAACTAGTCTAAAATTAAAACCAAAAAGTACCCCAAACTGGAGAAAATATCATAGAAAGTATTTCAGAAGTTCTGTTTATTGATTTATAAGTAAAGATATTTTAAACTGGGAAATCCAGAAGTAGTTTGATCAGCGACTTTTAGATTACTTGTACCTTTTTCTCAAGGATTTATATTTTATTGTTACAGACAGTAGTCTCACCATTTTGCCCAGACTGGGCTCAAACTTCAGGGCTCAAGTGATCCTCTTACCTTACCCTTCCAAGTAGCTGGGCTACAGATGTGTGCCACTGTGCCCAGCTATATTTATCTTATAGTTTAATAATATTATCTAATTTTTATAATTGTACTTAAAATAACAGATTTCAAAGAGTTTTATTAGCAACTACTGTGTCCTGATCTTGAAACTGAAACTATATACCAGAAAAGATTTTTTGATTTTTAATTAGGCAAAATTATTTTCTAGCATTGTCATATTAAATAAGGTTACTACTCTAGGATTTTTATGTATGTCCTGTTAGATTATCTATATGTCAGTAAGTCATGAAAAGCAATTTTCATGAAAACTTGGAATTAGAAATATTATAGATTGTATTCTTTTAGTTATTTTTTCCATAATAGATCAACATTTTTATCTTGGCAATAACTGCTATAGTTTTTGTAATCTTCCTCATACATTACGTGTTAATCTTAAAAACTGTGGAAAATATGAAATAAAAATTTTACTCATGATTAATTCACAAGAGTTAAACATTATTATTTTATTGTGTTTTCTTGTTTTTGTTGTTTATATAGTATGTAGTGGTGGCCAAAAGCATTCCTGAACAGGGAGGGTGGGCTTCCCCACTTGTTAGCTGTGTGATTTCAATTAGTTCTTCACTTTTCCCAACCTTGGTTTTGTTATTTATAAAATGTTAACAATAGATTTTTTATTATACTATTATTCAGAGAATAAAGTAAATATATTAATTACCCATATATAAGTATACATGCATGTGTATTTTAGATATTCTATTTAATTTATAAATATATATTGCTTTATAAGGTAATACTTCATATTACTCTATAAATATATATTATCTGTACATATATTTATAAAGTAAATATATATTATGCTGTATTTCCATAATAAACCATTATATATTTTTTTTATGTATATATTACATATAATAGTTTATATTATATATAAAATAATGGTTATATATTAATAATGGTTTTATATATTATATATTATATATTACATACTATATATAATATATGAAACCATTATATATTATATATAAAACCATTATTTATACATTTATATATATAAAATGATTTATGCTGGAAATGCAGTTCTGTATAATCTAAATCTAATTTAACACAACACCATTTAAGATGTATTTAATTTCCATCTAGTTGAGTATTTTTCAAAACATGATTTTTTAGTGCTTATATAAGAAAACATCGTGAATTTATTTAGAAATTTCCCTATTTTGGTCATTCAGTAGATTTCCACTCTTTTTTTTTTTTTTTCTAAAAACAAAACAATGGATATGTAGCCTTCATTCTTAGCTCCGATTTTCTTAATGCTAATTCCAGAAAGAGGAATTACTGGGTTAAAATAAACATAAATATTTTTAAGGCTCTCTTACGTTTTGTGCTGCAAAATTACCCTTTCTGTTGACAGTTATATATTTTAAAACGCTCAAAATGTATCTTCCCAATTCTGTTGATGATTTTTGTGACTACCTGTGTAATATATGTAATATGTCCTCTGAATATTAACTCGGGTCAGAGACAAATATCAGTCAAATCCTCAGGCTCAGGATGTATGCCTCAATGAACACTACTAGTTTTCACTATGCATCCTTCAGGGTATGTGAAAATAGTCAGTAGAATTTATAAAATGAAGGTTTGGAATCTGAGTTATTTTCCCAAGAGATTTATGAACTATAAAATAATATTATTATGTTCTCTTATTGCATTGTGCTCTTTAGCCATCTTCCATTTTATGTGGTATAGCTCCTTAGGATCCATTTGGTTGAAAGCTACTGTGTATACTCATTTTGTATTGTATTGTGGCAAATGCTGTAATCTACAGGGTTCCTATTCATTTCACAGCTCACTAATTGTGTGAATGAGAAGAGGAAATATATGCTTTTATTCTAAAGCATGCCAAGCAGATGGCCAAAGTTCATTACTAGGAGCATTGTCAGTGTGGCTGTCTTTTCTAGGTAGTAAGCCTGGCATCGATCTGTCAAACACAGAGTGAGGGTCCATTTAACACAGCACTTGAAAATCACTGAGCCTCTGTTTTGTTATGACTTATAAACATTTTATTTTTTTATCATCAACCTCCAAAGTGGTTGGTCATTTGAGCAGGTGCAAACACAGTAGAATTCATATTTGTTTTACCTGAGAAGCCAAATGAACTTTTATTCATATGGAAATCTTGGGGAAAGGAAACCGTACAAGAGATTAAGCTTAGTTTCTTGAAAAGCGGGTAATACAGCTATTGAGATTCAAAACTACCATCATTTCTGAGATTGAAACTTTTGAAAATTTAAGTTGAAGAAAAAGATCAGGGTTTATATCTTTTTAAAGCTAAAAGATTAAAACAATGAAAGAATTTAAGGTTTTAAGTAAGTCTCCCTTAAAATCTTGGTTTCTTCCTATAAAAGGAAACTGTTTACTTACTTTTATATAGAATATGTAATTTATGTGACCATTAAAAATGTTAGCAATGTACTCATTGTGTGTGTGTGTGTGTGTGTGTGTGTGTATAAGTGAGACAGAGTAAGAATCAGAGATAGTGACAAAAAGGAAATAAAGCCTGTCTTCATACATGTCCTACTTCAACGGCAGTACTAGGACTATATGTAATTGGGTTATTTCAGGAAAAGGAGGGTAGGTCAAATTTTCTTATGGAGCTGATGTAGTAATTTGATCATAATGTCTTGTTTAAGAGAACGAGAGCATGTTAGAGATAACGTTTTCTTCTTTATACAAAGAAAAATGGGATATATATTTCCCTTACCTCTTCCCTCTTCCTCCTTGCAAACCATCTACCACAAGTTCTACAAGTTATATTGACTATAAATTTCCCTTTCCCTTGCTTTTCAGACTGATGCTGCTCTAATGTATGATGCTGTGCATGTGGTGTCTGTGGCCGTTCAACAGTTTCCCCAGATGACAGTCAGTTCCTTGCAGTGTAATCGACATAAACCCTGGCGCTTCGGGACCCGCTTTATGAGTCTAATTAAAGAGGTAAGTTAGGAGAAGAACATCTGCCTTGTCTCTTTTGTTGTCAAGCTGAATGAAGTGAGATTATTGTGGTTTTTCTAGCAAGTGTCCTTTTACTTTATGTTTAATTTAAATTTTCTCTCTTACTCCAAATAAGCAAAATTAACATTTTTACTAAATAATACCAAATGAAAGGTGAGGGGAAACAAAATATCTATCAAAGTATCTATGAGGGTTAGCATTTACCTTTCTGAATCTTTATTACTTTTCCTTTATGTAGAGATATAGATTAATAAAGGAATGTTTATATTTTAGGCAACAAAATATAAAATGCATTTTTAACATAAATGTCATTTGCACTACAGCAAAATTATACCTAATTTGTGAGGCTTCAAGTATAGTTATTCAGATTAATTGTTCCTAAATATGTCTAGTTATTTAAATTATATTTACAATTAACAAAAATAGAATGTATGGATTAATCAAAGTGCAAAATTTACTCCATGTTATATAATGCAACCATTCTTATGACCATATATCATTTCTGACTATGTCTGTTATAGATCAAGAATATTCATAGTGAGAAAAAGTTTTTGAAGATCATACATACATACATATATACATGCATATATATACAAATATGTATACGTATATATTTTTCCTGTCAAAAAAGAAAGTCCTTTGTTAACTTAGAATACTTTTCATAGATGAAAGTTTAACTGTGCCTTAATCTTTGCAATGAAATATCACAGGTATTATTACCATATGAAATTTTTTATTAATGGCTTAAAATAAATCATCAGTTCATCTTGTAATAAATTATTCATCATGAAAATAAAAGTGCAAATAGGATCATAATTAAGTATCTCTGAATATCCATGAATTTTCTTTGTCTAATTCTTATCAAACTCTCAGGTAGATGAATTAATAGTTTCGAAGAATATGCAGTTTATTAGTTGCCCCATATTCTAACATTTACTTCTGGTTTAAAACTGAAACTTAGTGAGCTGTAGACACAGTCCACAGGTCTGGCGAGATGAAGAATTGATTTTTCTGAACTCAGCACTAGATTATTGAAACAATGACGTGTCAAGCAGCCCTAAAAGAAGCAGTTGTATGACATTCCCCATTGTATTTATTGTAGGGTGTAATTGAGAATCTTGTCCACTAAATCACACAGTGTCCCCCTTATGAGGACCAACAGGAGAAATTTCTCTCAGGTCTCAGTGCCAGGAAAAGCTCTTTCTCCTGAGCAGCTGGTATGTCTTAAATTATAGACCCTGTATATTGTGTTTTTATCATATTTTCTTCTTTGTTTTGGTTGCTAGGAAGTTCAGAATTGAATTTGTGATAAAATTACTTGTGCAATTTCACCTGGTATACATTTCTTTATGCTCTCTCTACCCCAGATTTGTTCTTCTGTTTTACACTTCTATTCTTGTACTTCTTGATCTTTTTGTTTACTTTTATACTATTGTCCATTTTGGTTAGTCACTTGAAAGTTTTTCTTTGGAAGCCATTAGGCTAAAAATATTTTTTTCTTCCTTATTCCAAACCAGTGAACACATGTTTAACTTTAGCAAAGACATGTTGCAATATGTTTATGAATATGTATTAAACTTTTTCTATTTCATTTGTAATTTATTAGCTGAAAACTAAGAATCTTGCACATAAGTATCCAAATATCATATGGAGCCTCAGAAATTTAGTAATATTAATTTCAAATCCTTATTGAAATATTACCCTTAATCTACTGATATTTACTTCTTTTGGGTCTTGGTTATATTATTTTAAACATTTTAGTTGTGAGTATACATTTTATAATTGAAAATTTCTGTATTTAACTACTTTTTCCTAAGCTATTTCCAAATGACAAACAATGGAAAACATCTAATTGTGGTTCTATAACCAACAGAATGGGAAAACTTTTTACGTTAAAAAAGTCCAGATATTTACTCACCTTTTAGGGTTGAACATATTATACAGCTAGATTATTATATTCCCATCTCCTCCATGAAGTATATCTTGATATGAAGTAATTATAATACATTTCCCTTGCCCTTACTTAGTGGAAAGCTAGGGGGAATGTATATAATTGAGTTAGTATAACATAGCTTTTCCTGGATTCAGTTTCTCTTATTGTAATAAGTTCCTTTTCATGTTATTATGAATTTAGTAGTGGGATTTTATAACAGTAGTTCTAACTGTATTTGCCAGTGAGATATTTAATATCTCATACACCATAAAAAGTAACTAAATTCTTCTCACTTTAGTTAAAGAGGTACACTACTTAAAACATAATAATACAATGTCTCCTAGACAGAAAATTGTAACTGGAAAATGCATTGTATAAAATGAAAAATTTATAGTAAATTTTCTGCTGAAACTAGGATAATTTATGTAGAAAAACATTTTTCAAATTTCAGAAGAAAATTAAAATATTTTAAAAATCTCTAGCAATGTAAACTGAAAAGTAATGAATATAAGTTTCCTACTTTTGTGAAAAAATGTTTATTCCATCTTTCTTCACTTATTTATTATCAATGTTTTTCTATTCCCATAGGCACATTGGGAAGGCCTCACAGGCAGAATAACTTTCAACAAAACCAATGGCTTGAGAACAGATTTTGATTTGGATGTGATCAGTCTGAAGGAAGAAGGTCTAGAAAAGGTATTTCAGTGAGCTTATTTGCTTTAATTACTAAATGAAACATATCTCAAAGAAGACAAATATTCTCTGTTGTAGTCACATTTCATTGACATTTAACTTTATTGAGTAACTCTAAAAATAAATAGTTAATTCATTATATTGAATATAATAATTGACAATTAGGATTCAAGGATAAAGGGTATCTTAAGACAATTTTATATTTTATTTTCTAACTAGAGATTTTTCTGATGCATATAATGTTTGAAGTGCATATAATGTTAATTAGTCTTAAGGTTTAATATAGCAATTAGAAAATATTTGGTTTAATATGGGTCTTTATACATGCAGCTTATAATCACTTATGGTTGCATAGACTTTCCAACTTGGAGCAGGCCATTAAGAAATTAAATATAAAAGTATGTTTCTATTTTTTGAGTCATATTTAAGTGAAATATTTGAATTCATGTATGCACAGTAACTAGGGTATATACATAAATGTAACATACCACACTGGATCTATCTTACTTGATTTTATTGCTAGGGATTGTGGTAAAACACCCAAAGAATGTGGGTATGTGCCTACTTAATGAATATTTTAGTGTGAGTTTTCTTAAATACATAATGTATGTATTTAGATATTTTTCTGATAGATTCATTGATAATTGACAAGAGATATTAAATCTTTTTATATGTTATTTAGATGTTATTAAATCTTATTAGATCTTATTAAAATAAGAACTTGAGAAAAATTATATGTGACTGAGATAATATTGCTTTGAAGATAGTAAGCTATCTTATATTTCACCCAGCAATGAAACATGCAGCTTTATTTCTAGACAGAAACTGAAGAGGAAAGCTGAGACCTACGAAGGGCTTTCTTAGTCTGGAAGATAACAGCATATTTGAATGCTGATTCAAACCATCCAGGACAGAGTAAAATTGCATTTTTGATAGTGTCCCCAAGACAGTTTTAAATACATTATGACCAACTGATGACTCAAACTGATAGAGCTGTTACCTCCTGCCACTGAGGATTTCAAACTGTACACTTTGTGAAGACCAAGCAAAGTCAGGAATATTTTATAATAAACTGGAACCCAAATATTCATGAGACAGTCCCTTCCTAACTGTCTCACTCTCCAGATGAGAAAATTAGTCTGTGTCCAAGACTGGAGTTGATAATGGTAGAATTCAGTAAGCTCGTGAGGAGTTTATCTTACTGTTTACTGGAGATGTTATTACTTTATTTATTTATTTATGAAATATCGAAATCACTAGGAGGAATTTGGACCATTGCTGACATTTCAATACATCTGCATAAAATGGCAGTGCTCTTCATATTACCATAGATCCATTCCTGTCTTGAATTCAAAATAAATGAAACATTACAAAATTTTCTCTGTGCTCCATTGTGGCTTACAGATACGCCTGAATATAATGGTTATCAAGTACATATGATGATCTATCACACTGATAAGCAAGGTAAACCAGTGTGAGTTGTTCAGGTTGCTCTGAGATTTCATAAATATTTTATATTATTTTCTAAAATCTGAAAATTCATTTTGCTGAATTAATTATGTTCAGTCCTTATCCTCAAGGGGCTTTTCATGTACAGTGATAAGATAATACATATTTGTAAATAAATACAATCAAAAGCTATATGTTTCAAGCTTTCAAAAGACCAATAAAAATATAATTTCTGATAAAAGATATAATTAATCAAGAGTCATAGTCAATTGAGTACTTAGAATTAGCCTTTGAATATGTTGAATTATTGATTGTTAGAAAATCAGTCATTTTAGAAGGAAGTAGAAGTATGGGGAAACACAAACATAGCGTTTGATTTTATCATTACACACATACACATACAAATAAAGCTAAAATGCTAGATTTTAGTCATAACATAGATACCATGTCCAAGATATTTGCAGGGTATTAGAACACAATGTGAGTTTAAAGAAAGAATAGCCCTGAAGGCTATGGGTTACTTGGGAAGATAATATAGTTTAGAATAATTTTAGTATGAGGCCATGAATTTAAAACCATTCTAATAGGAAGTGGAGATGAGTAAACAGTTTGTGACAGAAGGCATTAACTGAACCATCAGCAATGTTGTTAGTTCAAAGACTAGCAAAGCATTTGGACTATGTTTTTAAGGAGAAATGGAGGAGCCAGGTAGGAAAAGGGAGATACCAGGGATAAAAGCATAACTCAAATATTGGAAAATGAATTAGCAAGTAGGGGAATTACTAGTAGAAATAAACTGGCATAAACCTTCCCCTGAAAAGACAGATAAGGTACCGAGGATGGGTGGAGGTAAGTTAAAGAGAAAGGGAGCAAAAAGTTCACATCACATGTTTTCAATATCCTTGAAAATTTGTACATGAACTCATCAGCTAAAGGACAGCGGTAAAGTTTAGTCGGTTCTTAAGAAAAATTGAAAATTCCATTTTGACAGACTTGATTTTGACTTAGAAGGAACAAAATGCTGCTAAGTAGCAAAAAGTCCTCATTTTAAATTTAGTAGAATAGTTTACAGCTCAAGGTCTAGATTCAGAGATATTTTGGCTCAAATTCTCACTCTGCCCTTTACTTTTTGTGGACAAATTTATTAATCTCTCTAAAACACAGCGTCTTACACTGAATCATGAGGCAACAGCAGTTATCTGCCTCATGATGACTGAGTGTTATTGACTTGACTTTTTTTCTGCCTAGAAAGTATAGTTACCAACCCATAGATGGAAAAGACAGCATCCCTACCCTGATGGAATTCACAGTTTAGAAGGGCCAATAGATGGTGATCCAAGAGGCTTGAATTTCAGTTCCAATTCTATCAAAACTAAGCATGTGAACTTCATCCTGCCACCGAACTTCTCTGTGCCAAATTCATCACCTTAAAAAAAAAAAAAAGTGCAGGGCAAAGGGCTGCCCTCTTGGACAGTCTGAAGTGAGAATACTATGGCCTCTAAAAGAACCCGGAAGTACCATCTTGAAATAAATTGATGCTAGAAATTTTAATCGTTAAAATTTAACAATTATGTTCTATCATGACTGAGAGACAAAAATAAAGAAGGAAAACATGTAAAGTGCTAGGTTTATCCCTCTTCTCATGCCTATTGCCTTTTCTTCATTCTCATTCTGTCTTGGTCATCTTAGACCAGCACACTTCATTTAGTAGGTTAATCTTCTAACAAATATGGAAGGAATGTCTGTTTTATGCCCTCATGAAGGTTATAATCTAATAGAGGAAACCTGCCAATAATAAATAGACTCATTAGACTTATAAAATTATAAGATTGGGCAGTAATAAGTGCTGAAAAGAAGGTCATTTTGTTTTTATGTCACTGACATGATAGATTTTACATAATGTTCGGAAACATGAACTTCAGGATGAAAACAGTTAACAGGAAGGAAGTCTATGCTTCTGTTGTTTACAACTGTGGAGCAGATAAACCAGGAAGAAACCAGTATGCTTCTGATGAATGGGAAAAGGTGGGCCATGCTCAAGTGTCTGAGCCTGGAGTGGAGATGGGCATCCTTTCTACTTAGATGGTGTCCATAGATCAAATGAATTCTTTCTACTCTATTATAACAGAAGCCTTAATTGGAACCCAGCCCAATTCACTGTGGTCCCAAAAAGATCACCGATACTGTATACACAGCCAGCCACTTCTGTGCAAACAAGCTCTCTGGGACCATGGCAGTGCCTTCAATGGAGGAGGGGAGGGCAAGAAGGGGGAAAGACAGTAGGTACTATTACAGACTTTGCCTAGTTCAGGCAATACTTTTGCTTATGAGAGGCTGGTATTGAGCACTCAGGAACAGGAAAAGGAAAACAGAATAAGTGATTTTCCAAGCTTGAATTCTTCTGGTCAGTTCAAGGATCATATAGTGTATTCTACTTTCAAAATATGTTTAGAATCCATTCATCTCTCACCACATCCGTTGCTGAATCATAACCATAGTACCTTTCAACTGTACAACTACATTGGAATTCCCACAAGCCTCTCTCTTCAATTCTGTTATAATCCATTCCCTAAACCACAGCAGCCAGGCAGATATTTTTAAAAGGAAATTGACCCCTGTCATCCCTCTGTTTAAATGCTTTCATAGATTCTCATTGTGTTTTGAATAAAATCCAAAGCACCAGTGACCTCTCATCATGTCATCATGTTCTCAGATATTTTCTTCTGCCCTACCTACAGAGGGTTTTTTTTTTTTTCTCATTTCCTCAAGAAAACAAAGTTTTCTTATCACTTTGGCATAGAGTAATAGAAACAGTTTTCCCAGCCAGGAATATCCATTCCCAGTTCCTTTGCCTGGGGAACTCTTACTCATCCTGGTAGTATCATCTTAAATATTACTTCCTTAGATAGGCCTCCTCTAAGTCTCTAATCAAGTTTAAATTTCTCCTAATGCTCTGCCCTTTTTAATTTCTGACTCTATCAAAGTACACAATTATTTATTCACGTGAACTTTATAAAAGGGCTATCTCCCTAGCCAGAGTGCAAGACCTACTAGATGGAAAATATATGCTCCCTTTTCCACTACTATATATTAAGGCTTTGCAAAGTATCCTTTGTCTTGAGGACAAAGTATGTACTCAAGAAATATTTGTTGACTGTTGAATGAATAAAGAATCTTTATGGAAATTATGAGATACTTCACACAGAACGCTTACTCAAGTGTCTGATGCAGAGTTATTTTCCTGTAGCACAGTTTGTTGCTTTTCCTAGCTTTGCTCTATACCTCCAACATGAGGACAGGGAAAGACAATAGTCAAGGGATCAGTGGGTTGGGGTCATGGGTCAATGTTTCAAGTGGGTAAAGGATTTTAGATTGCAGAAGGTCACCCTGAAGTCGGAAATTGTAAGGATCCACATTGCTTCAGTGGTAAATCTGGCCCCATTCATGGCACAATTAAAAACTCTCTGACCTTCCAGTATTACATTAAACAGTAAAACTCAACATTCTATTTATAAATGTTCCTTTTTTGTCCTTACAAGTTACAGTATGGAAATAAACAAAGCTCACCCAAATGAGAACAAGTGGAAGTTACTATTCAGAACTTACTACAGGAAGGGAGACAGCCTTCATCACTTGCATTAAACAGGGATTCAAAGGCAAGCAGGGGAGTGGAAAAGTTTCATAGTGGAAAGAAATGAAGACCTCAGGTGTGCTGTGATTGGAGATTGCTGGCATGAGGAAACTGGAGTTGGTCTAACAAAGCAGGGCACCTAGATAATGGGTTTTGGGGGGCACATTTGACTTTCTCTGGCTGGTTCTGATTTGGAGGGTGGCAAAAAATTGGGAAACTGGAAGTAATAGGATGAATCCTGATTGTTTTGGGTAGATTGCCTGCTGAGATTGTGTTTGGCTTCCTGAGGTGCTCACTCCAGAGCTTCTGGGTCATAGTTTGTCATCACACATGGTTTGGTCATTGTCTATTTGTGTATTCAGTCTGTGAGTGGAATTACTGAAGTAATTTGGAGGGAGAAGAATAGCAAAAATAAAAAGAAGCAGGAAAAATTTACTTGTGAGGAAATATAAAAACATCATCACCAACAATAAAATTGTTTTTTTGGTTTGTTTTGTTTTTGTTGTTTAGAATGTGTAACCAGGATGTAACTTATTGTTGGAAGTGGTTTATCCTTATTGTTCCATCACCTGAAGCTTAGCTATGTGCTTAGGAAAGACCAGCTCTAGAGGGAAGAAAACACAAAACTGATGGCATAAGATGTTACAGAAATATTCAGGAAGATCTTAGACTGTAACTTCAAAAGGATATCATTTACAGCAAAAAGAGTTGGAAGAGTTCCACACAAAATGGGTTTAGACTGAGTTGATGACATTATATAAAATAGTGCAATTTCATTGCAAGATGAGCTACCTAGAAGCCATTTTTGGGAAAACAACCACTTAAATTTAGAAAAGAATTTCCTATAGGAAACTGTAATGCAATAATAAAATCCCTGAATCTTAACTCATGATTGAATTTTCTTTTAAACTCTCCTATGTGACCACAAAGTACTTCGTGTGTTTTCCAAGAGAAAAAAGTCAGTCTTTTACTGTTACACTTTCCTGGTTATTCAAAATAATTTTTATTGTACTACAGAATATTTGTTTCTAAGTACAGGTGTAAATTAAAATTATTCTTGTGTACTTCTCTTATCCTTTTTCTAGCATCAAATTTTGCCAATCTGATTACTTTGTGGATATTCTCCTGTGTGATATTTAAATGAAAATAGACATTGGAGAATAGAATTCCCTATCTCCTCAGCAGATAGGCTCTAATAAACCATTATTAAAATTGGCTTTATGTATTAATATTATATTAACTTTGAAAAATAGAAAGGATAAAACTGATAAATTTCTTTGGACAGAAATAGTGCTGAGGGACCTTGAAGCATTTGGGACTATAAAAAACAATCACAATGTGTTTGCCCCAGCGTAGGTTTGTAATAAAATCAGATTTAGTTTGTGTATCCTTTGGGAAAATCTTAAAAAAAAATACAGAAAGACATTTTATGAAATATATGTTTGTCAATTTCTATAGTTAATAATATAAATATAAAAATAATTTGTAAATGTCTTATAAATAGTATTTATAAATAATATAAAGCAATATATTGCACATTTACACACCTCTAAAAGGTTTAAATTTGTCATATTTTACTTTCATGTGAAGCTTCATTTTAACTTTTAACACTTATGCTTTTTAAATATTTACTGCTTGCATCCACCAGTATAGAGACTAGTATTAATCCACAGACTTTTTGCTAAAACTCAACTATCTTGATAATATATGAGGAGGATAAGAATTGATAGTGAAACCCTGCCTGCCTGAGTTTACAGGCTTATGTGTTCTAGAATTAGAACATGTTTCAAAGTGCTTTTTGAATATTTTTTGTAAAGTATGTATTTTGAAGAAAAAGTGGTTATTTCTACAGAAATCTTTACTATTGACCTTTCTTTTACTTGTTGACTCCTGCCCTCATTAAACTTCATATGAAAAAGGTGCCTGAATGGAATTTAAATTTTCTGAACTTATCTAAATCTGAAAATCTACCTCAGATAGGTGAAATTTACATTAATTATAGATTTCTAGAACCGGATGCACGGCAGTTTTTATCTTCCTCTCTTTGGTGGCATTTGATACATATACCCAGTGCCCATGGCAACAGTGACCCCCAACTTGTCCAGGAACTGAGATTTATCTTGCCTTCCTCTACGAAAGCAATTTTAATGGTGATGTTAACTCGTAAACTTTAAATTAGTCAAAAAGTGATGTTTGCTTCTCTAAAAACAAAAATACTTCCTGGGCAGGATCCAAGCCTATTGCCTTTCTTTGGAGATGTTAGCCATTTAATTTGTCTAACTCTTATATAGAATTCATTATAAACCCTGTCTCAGAACTGTACCGACATTTTTGTGTGTCAGTGTGTATAGTTATTATTTTGTTTGGCAACTTTACACTTTCAGGACGATAAAATATTTCAGAAAACTATTTATGAATGATGTTTATGTTTAGAAATCAATCAGATTGCCTTATTTGAGGTCACAGAATTTATTGTTTTGGTTCCCAAAAAGTCTTATTTTGGCCCACCAATGAATATTAAATATTGGCTTTTTTCTTTTAACCACTAAATTTGAATTAACATATATATATGTATAAATTACAATTATGATATATATAACATAATTGTAATTGATTGATTTGATTTCAAATCAAATCAAATCTGACCTACATTTTTATCTGTGGAAAAATGGCTTTTAACTGAATGGTATCGTATTTTCATATTTGGGAACATGTAATTCATTAATTCAAACATTATTTAAAAAATCAAAATCACAACCTGTCTGTTAACTCTTTAATTGTGCTTAGCATTAAATTGCCCTAAACTAAAATAAAAATCTTAAATGAGAAAAATCAGTGTTTAGTTAGATTATTAATTCCTTTCCATGAGATGATTATATACTTACTG
This sequence comes from Homo sapiens, assembly GCF_000001405.40. NCBI lineage: Eukaryota > Metazoa > Chordata > Mammalia > Primates > Hominidae > Homo > Homo sapiens. Next base: position 101,810,403 of record NC_000006.12, read on the forward strand.
ATTTATTGTACTCATATTAGCACTATAGTTCTCGAATGGTAAAATCCGAGATCCTATGCACACTAGTTGAGAGTTTCAGGACGCTGATTACGAAAGCGTTCTTTGCCCTATCCTTATAGGCCAATTAACTTATATCTGAAGGTCAGCCAATTTCCAGACAATTGCTCTGGACTCAAATTCTAGCTGGCAGGAAGCACATAGGCTTTGCTGTAAAATATTTCTTTTTGTTTTCTAGAGCTCAGGTGCCAATGCTTAAGTGCTCTCTTTTCAACACTTAGTTCAATGGAAGTAAACAGTTATTAAACTTCGGTGTCAAGGGTTATTAGACGGTAATGCAACTAACTATCTCTACTTTTCATTTAACTATTCATCATTTGAAGGAGTGAAGTAAGGAAAACAAAAGTCTCTAATTTCCCACTAATAGTGAGAAAACTAATCTGTTGAAAAAAATTTCTGTACCCAATATTCATGCATTGTATTGGCTTGAGAAACCCAGGTTTTCAGAAATAATAGGTATATGAGTTAATAGAGAAATAAACAGTCCACTAGTGTATATTCAGTCAATTGCAGGAAACATCTTTCATACGTAAATCAGCATTTAATATAAATCTCTTTCTTATGCTTTCTATTTCTCAATTCCCTCAAACAGTACTATCGGGGTGCCAACTTTTTTCCAAGGGAAGTAGTCAATATACTTCAAGGAAAACTATACTTTGTAGGTCATATGGTTGGGGGCAACTCATTACTGGAAAGAAATTTCTTTAAGCAAACATATTCTAAGATGGAGAGTCTGCATTGTGCTAAGACTGTTGGAAACCCATGTACAGTGTGGTTTCTCATTATCATCACACAGGATCTCTGTGGAAAACTATGGCTTATATTCTTTATTCAAGGCTGACACATTCTCCTGACATTAAGTCAAAACAATGTACAATCAAATAACTTTCTTTTTTACATTTTTACATTGTTGTCTAATGGAAAACTATATTGCTTCTTTTTCCATCTACCAACATCCAGTGAATATTTTGTGAGTCAATGCCAGTAAGAAAGTATAAAGAGAATTTTGATAGATTTGTATCAGGTATTTTTTAGTGGAGAATTTAAATTATTTCTTAATTTAAAATAAATTTAACTTTATTTGGAACTAATATTTTTAAAACTAACTGGGAATGTTTATTTTGTTCCTACTTGAAAAATTTCTTGTATACATATCAAGCAAATTATTTCCATAAATTTCATAGAAAATAAGAAATGTGTGACATTGATCCGGTGTACACAAAACAGAGCTAACATGCATCTTTAGAAGAAAAGATGCTACTTTCAGAGGTTAACAATTATATAGCCCAATAGAGGAAATAGAAACATTTTTTGGATTTAAAGTAGTAATATGAGTTACAAAACAAAATTTGTACTGAGAAAACTGTCACCAAAAATAAACAAATAAACAATAAAGAAGCAACTAATTAATAAGATAAATAATTTAAAAATTATTCTGAAAACTGTTGTTTTCTACCTAGAAAAAAATACACAGAAACCAAAGAGAAAATATACTTATAAAACAAAATTATATGAATAATTTACACATTCCTGAAAAACAAAACCTATAGTGTAAAATATTTATTTAAAATACTTATAAAATATAATTAGGAAAAAATGGAAATTCATAGTAAAGGTATGTGGCATAATATTTCAAACATTAAATATGATATTGAGATAGATCTTAAAACATTAAGAATAACACAAAAAACATGAAGATAAAATATGGAAAACAAAATATGTAATTATAAAAGAATAGACACATATGTATGTTCAACATTTGCCAAATGAATGAATGATATTGGAAAGTCAACCAAAAAAGTCTGAAAGTTTTTATCATGGAGTAATTCACTCACTTACTCTATTTATTTATTCAATAAATATTCATTGGATATTTATTATATAATTTAAAGATTGATGAAATGTTTCGTTTTGTGAAGGCACTTAGAGTTTAACACAGCAGGATCAATAAAAATGAAATATAATTTGGATTCAAAGCAATACATAAGTGGCATTTCTGAGATGAGGAAAATAAAACATTTATTTCTGTTCAATAAATATTATTATTTATGTTCAATAAATAAAACGTTTATTGGTTATATAACCAGTATGTTCAGAGATCTCACATATAAAGCCCGTAGGATGTCCTATATTCAAAGGCCTTGGGGTAAAAAGATGAGTATGCCAAAGTCTCCATCCGTAGGGAATTAGTTTTTACTAGACAGAGATAAGTAAACAGTTAAAATATAATATGATACTTATTGTAGTAAGTAAAAGCATAACTAAATTGCTGTGTATGGAAGCGTAATAAACGATCATCCATTACTGCACAGAGGAGGAATTGTTTTACCTATATTTTGAAACAGTAATTAAGATACATGCATAAGGTAGTGAAAAGGGAAAGAGTACACCTTCTATAGAAGACATGAGGACACAAATAATTGAGAACTACAAGATGCAACAAAGTCTATGTTCAGAAAATGGAGAAATGCATTATATTTCTGACAATTTAAGAAAAGAACCATTGTTTCTCTCTCTTTCTACTCAGTCTTTAGGTAACATATTTTGCAAAAAGTTCATATATACATGATATACACATCCGTATATAACATATACATAAATGCTATGTATGCATATACATAAATGTACTATATATAGAGATACATGCATACATCTACATAGACATATGTAAACATCCACATATACACACACACACACACACATATACACACACATATGTACTTGTTGAGATTTAATATTTCCAAATGATAATACTGAAGACTTTCAAGAAAAAATATTCACCAATAGCAAAATACATATGAGGTAGCTCTCAGTCTTTTTGAGCAACATTAATACTAGAGAAAAATGAATAAAACTTAGCTCTGAAGGAAGACGGCTCTGATATAATAGGTCTTCATTTAGCTAAGTTTTCTTTATATAAGAAGGCAGCAAAAATACCTTTAAGTCTGCAACCATAAAAGTATGTCACATAATTATCTTTTATAATAAATTATCTTGTGTAAGTACAATGATAAGTGAAAAGCAAATACTCAGAAGAAACTGTGGCTAGATATCCTAGTAAACATCAAATTCAGTTAAGCACAAAAAAAGATAGTTTTGAATAATGACTTTACAAATTATATCAAAATTACAACCTTTTCCTTGTAGCAAAATAATTCATAATACACAAAGCAAAATAAAGAGAGGCAGTGTTTACAACCCCACATTAAATTAACTAAAACCGGCTGGGCACGGTGGCTCATGCTTGTAATTTCACCACTTTGGGAGGCCAAGGCAGGCAGATCACCTGAGGTCAGGAGTTCAAGACCAGCCTGGCCAATATGGTGAAACCCATCTTTTCTAAAAATATAAAAATTAGCTGGGCATGGTAGTGGGTGCCTGTAATCCCAGCTACTTGGGAGGCTGAGGTGGGGAGAATTGCTTGAACCCAGGAAGTAGAGGTTGCAGTGAGCCGACATTGTGCCAGTGCACTCCAGCTTGAAGGACAAAGCAAGCTCCATCTCAAAAAAAAAAAAAAATGTTAACTAAAACTGTGAATCAGTATGTGTGGCAGCAGAATGGGACAAAGCATAGATAATTTTCGTAGAGTAGATATTTCAATTTTTATGGCTGAATATTCGTTTTTCAGCATGATAGTAATATTTCAAACAGAAGCTGATAATACACATTAGTAGACTTAAATGTATTTTATCTCCCAATTACCATAGGAAAATTTCCAGGAGTAGAAAGTAAATAATAAACACCAAACAATGTGAAAGGAGCAAGGCTAAATAAAGATAAGATTCAGTAAGAGAAAAAGTTAGGACATTGAAAAAATCTACTAAGGCACTAATTATAAAAAAATCCAACAAAATGAGAAATATGTTGAAAGTGAAAATATATATAATGATTTATCAGCAAATGCAAAGAAACAAATAATGGAGGTAAAGTAAGTGTGATTAATAATATATATTGAGAGTTTACGTAAAACAAAGTAATTGAAATAAAAACAGTTATTTTTATCAATAACACCATCTACAGTTAAAAGACTTGACAATTATAAACCTTTATAATATAATCTGATGTTATTCAAACTATTAAAAGCTAAATTGTTATACAGTTGTCTTATGGAAACTACCATGAACTGTAAAGGGAAAGATAACAAGTAGAGAAATTATTTTGGAAAGTTATTTGGCAACATATAGTAATAATCTTAACAACTCAGATTATCTGTGCTCAGTCATTCTAATTCTAGAAATCTGTTTTTAAAATGATAAAATGTGTGAACAAATATTTATAAATAAATGTGTTTACTAAGGCCTTGTAACAATGATAGTTGAATCACGATATGTTCATATGATCATTTTGTGTAGTCATTATAATTATGGATTTGATTATCTTTGGTGCCAGGAGAAAATGCTCACAATAGTGTATAAACAGAATATAATTAGTAATTGTCATAATTATAGCATACTTATAAACACACTATGTTGAATACTTTTTCATTTAATCACACTATGTTGAATACTTTTTCATTTAATCTTCACTATAGTTTATGAAGTAGATACTATTATTTCCCATTTACAGATGGGAGAATTGTGACACAAAGAAATAATGTACCCGAGTCACCTGATGTTAAGTGGTGGACATAGGATCCTGGCAGTCAAATACGCTGTCCATAAAAGCTGGGCCATTAACAACAAGGCTATGATGGAAACTGTGCAAGGAATGTGTGTGGAAAGACAAATGACAGGAAAAAATAGGACCACAATATTAACCATGATTGACTCTGGGTGTATTCATAGGATCAAAGTTTAAATTGATCTTCTTCTTATATCTTCTGCATATTTTATAATCTCATGACAATTAATATGCATTCTTTTTCTGACCACAAGAAGAAATCAAAGAGCCAATCAGAACATAAAATAAAAATGAATAAAATCATAATTTTCTATAGCTCCTTATGACTTTTGAAGCACTTTCATATTTCTTGTATCTAATTGAATCCTTATAATTAGAATGGCCCTATAATTTATTACACAAATCATGATATTTTTTATTTGTACAAGAGGGTATTATTAATGAAAACAGTACCTGGGCAAACCAGGATGTAGAGTCACCATATATAAAACAATTCTGTAAGGTCAACAGTGCTTAAGCATCTTAATTGCGTTTCAGAGCTAAAAAAAAAAAAAAGTATTTCAAAGGCTTGATCAAGTCATATGACAAAATAGTGGTTCCCGAATAGACAAAAATAGATTGCTATCACTTTGTCCATGTTTTTTGCCATTAAAACAAAACAAAACCTCTGGTGACAATTTCCTCAATGGAAGAAAGTTTTGAATCATGTAGTTGACAATCTAGGAATATCTAAAATTTTATTTGACTTAAAATATTAAAGCCACTGATATTTCTGAAATGTCATAATATTACGCTAAGAAAGCTGAGATTTACAAAAGAGGATAACTAATACTTGTGAATATAGGAAATTGTAGATTCATGTAATATTCATCTGTGTCAGAACTCCAAAAAAACTAGAAAAGCAACTAACCAATAATGAAACTAGAGAAGTATTTTCAGATGGTAAGTTGAGTGAACATTTAGCTAAATTATTTTTATAAAAGTAATAATGGAGGGTGGCATTATGTGAAATGGGAAATTCTTTGTATTAGTTACTTGGTTAGAAAGTTGAAAACTTTCTAAGGTTTTATTAGATAGACGACAGTGAACAAATGATGTTTGTCAGTGGTTTCACTGGTAGCATTACACATCTGAAAATCTTAGCTATTTTGCCAATTTATATTAAAAAAAAAAGTAAAATCTAAGGGAACAAATGCATGATAGGTATTAATTATGGACCAGGTATAGAAAAGTGACAGTCATTCACTGCAAAATACTATCTGCAGATGTGTCTTGTTTAGCCAAGAGTATTTGCAAATGATTTTAAATTTGAAACACTTTGGCCGGGCACAGTGGCTCACGCCTGTAATCCCAGCACTTTGGGAGGCCAAGGCAGGCGGACCATGAGGTCAAGAGATCGAGACCAAACTGGCCAACATGGTGAAACTAAAAATACAAATACAAAATACTAAAAATACAAAAATTAGCCGAGCGTGTTGGCGGGCGCCTGCAGTCCCAGCTACTCGGGAGGCTGAGGCAGGAGAATTGCTTGAACCCGGGAGGCAGAGGTTGCAGTGAGCAGAGATTGCACCATTGCACTTCAGCCTGGTGACAGAGCAAGACTCCATCTCAAAAATAGATAAATAAATAAATTAATTAATTTTTAAAAAATTAAATAGTTTAAGCAGGTCAACAGGCATTCTAGTTTTGACACCCCTCCATCCTTCCCTACCCAGGTCCCCAGCAGGCCCTCTACTAGCCCTGGTGGTGCCTTACCGGAAACTCAACTAAAGCACCTGCTCTGGGAACATGCAGCCCCAAGGCACACAGCTGTTGGAAAAGCAGGATTGGGATTGTGGCCCCTCCTTTCTACTGTGTCTTGACATTTTGTGAGATTTAAAAATTGCACATACTTGCATAGAAATTCTTACTACGGCCCTGTACATTATCATGTTTCACATTGATATGACCGGCTTGGCTCCTGAAGCCTTTCATTATTGACTCTGAAATAGAATTAGGCTCCATCTTTAGGACATTGTCATAAGCATAGTCTAATGTAAAGAAATGTAAATTGGCCAGTAGGTGGTTTAGTTTGGAAAGAATACTGAATTACTTGACTTTTTCCTTCCTAACACCAACATCAGGAATATACAGAATTTAATGGTGAGAGGAAAATTAACTCCATATGAGGAAATATGGCAAAGAGATTATGCTGATGGGACCTTTGTTAGCATATTTAGTTAGAACAGAGTAAATAATACCTGCTAAATCAATGCCATTTTAAAAAGACTTAATTTATATACAAAGACTTATTTTAAAGATAATTTGATAGTTTTCCTTTTCTTTGAGAAAAATAAGTTGGATACTTGTCTAGGAGAGTATGGAAGACAAATTTTGTTATTGATTACTCCTGGGTATGAGACAGTGAGGAAAAAGAACTGATTTCACATCTTCTTTTGCCTCTGCTCTTCCTTGCTGCTGATCATTGTTATATGATAGTGCAATGGTATAAGTGTCAATAAACCATCTAATGAATGCATTTTGTGACATCCTGTGCTTACGTGTTTCTTCTGGAGGCTTATCTGCATTATCTCATAGTCTGTGTTCAGTGAATACAAAATGTCTAAACACTGTGAGTATATGACCTAATCTATCAGAAGATATTAGTTAAATTAAAATTCATATTAAATGGATCACAGAAGAAAGTATTGGAATGTGTTATTCAGATCAGATTTTACTGTCTTCTCCTTTCTTGGGAGCACTTTAAAAGGTGCAAAGATGCGTTTTTAAATCTCCAAAGATAATTCTGGGCATGGTCTTATCCCACCAGGGGTAGTGCAAAATACTATTCAATGCTTCCCTTAAGCCTACCTTTACCTATTAATTTATCTTGGATCCCTAGATTTTGCGCTGTCTTTTAGCTTTGTCTGTATAATATGGCATGTTATCTTTATGAGAGGATGAAATAGATCCATTACAGTAAAAGATGTATGCCATTAATGAGTTTCTAGCCAGCTATCAAGGTATCATCAAATGTGGTTTATCTTGGTGAATGAAAGCTTGAATGGAAAATTAAGCTCCCACACTGACTGGAGAAGTTCAGTGGATCGTTTTGTTCTTTAATGTTACACTTCACTGAACACACTTCACAGAGCCGTGAATCATGCTTTAAACAAGCTGCCTTTACTTTAACGGCAGCAGACAATGCAGCAAAGGTGAATAATAAGTGTTAGCAATCTTAACTTTCTTTTGCAGTACTCTCTACCACGTGCCTGATGGACAATTTACAAAGTACATATGCTATTTTATAGATTGGAACGTGGGATCCAGCCAGTGGCCTGAATATGACAGAAAGTCAAAAGGGAAAGCCAGCGAACATCACAGATTCCTTATCCAATCGTTCTTTGATTGTTACCACCATTTTGGTAAGTATTTGCTTTTCCATTATTCTTAGTTAAATGTAGATGAACACAGAAGTGCATAGAAAAGGACATTATAATTGGAACAGCAATGAACAGAATGTATTTTACAGTTATTTAGCAATTACTGTACAACAGATGAGTCAATGTTAATTTAGTCACAGTTTTGTTAGTCTTAAATGATCTAAATTGTATTAACGTTTGGGCTGTTTATGTTGACTAATAATACAGCTTAATGTATTACTGGAAATCTTTTCATTTTTCCAAAATTAGTTACTATTGAGGAATTGTCAATGTCAAGACTTGAAAAATACGTGCAGCTCTATAAATATAGTTAAGTGATGAGCCAAAAGTGAACTTTGCTTCTGCTTTTATTTTCCGCAAATATATTTCATAGGGCATGGCACTTATTTTTCAGAATTTTTTCTCATTATAATTATATTTTAACTTTATTTTCAATTTTATTGTTTTCATCTTGGAAAATTAATTTTACTTTATGAATTTCCCTAATGTAACCAAATGGCAAGTGCTTTTTAAAGCCAGAAATATTTTCAGCACTGACAGACTTAATATTGTTAAGCTAGATGTTTTTACCCCTCTTATATTTATTTATATCTTTTAATTAGATCACACAGTAATGTTCGCTTATGCCCACTATGTCATTTGCAAAAGGGAATTTTAATTTAGGATAAGCAAATAGCTCTTACATTATTTAGTCAGTACTTTTCACCTACCAAATAAGCTTATCAATGACCATTCTTATTAATCCTCAGGTAGTCAGTAAAAATTGAGAGTAATATCTAGAACAAACTACCATGAACATTTAGCATTTATATAATTTCTAAATTTGATTTATGGTGGGAAATCAAGCTATGAGGAATATATATTCTTGCCCCTTTAGTAGCAACGAGGGATGTCAGATCTGTAGGCATGTCAAAATGAAGTAGCTTGGGTTAAAGCCTTTTGATAATGAAGCAAAGCTGATAATCATGAAGTGACAGTGATGAAAGTCATAAAGTTTTTAACCAATCTGTGGCTAAGGACCTCAGTGGATACTCGCTCTCTCTGTCACATCCAAACGTCTAAGACACCCTTTTACTTAATTTTCTATCTTCCTTTCTTTTCAAAGATAACTCCCATACCCACCAACCTAGCCCTCTTCTTCAGTCAAAATGTTCTCACAGTACAATTACACATCCTCTTTCTGATCTACATGCCACTATGTTCTGGATCTCATTACTTCCTGTTGGGACTATTGCAGTAGCCACGTAACTATTTCTTCTGCCTGTGGCTTTCCTCCTTTGCAGTGCACCCAAGTCCCACCATAAAAGTCTAATTCTGTTCCAGGCAAATGGTGACTGCTTGAACAAGGACAACATCAACAACAACAACACAACAACGACAATCTAATCCTGTCATTTCTCTACTTCTTTGTTATACAGATTGTTAGAGAATCCTTATTGACCATTAAAAAGCCAACAAATTTAAATTTTTATATATAGGGTCCTCTATGGTCTTACTCTCTCTCACCTTTTTATCTTCACTTCCCATTATTTTCTTTCAGGAACCGTGTGTTTTAATTGAATTGGGATAACCAGTTAGCCTGCTACATAGTTTTGTGAATGCTCTTCCCTTGCTCTGCAATATGCTTATCTCAATTTCTGAGATATAGTATTCATCAGTAATATATGACTTAATATTCATATTATGCTATTCTTATTTCATGTGTGCATTATTTTCCCAAATATCACTAAACATTCCTTGGAGGAATAGAATTAGATTATGTCTTCTGTTTCTATACCATATGTACCTCTGCAATGATCATAGGATCAATAATTCTGGGTAGAAAACATCTGTAGCCTTCAGTAATCTGGCCCCTACACTCCTTTCTATCATCTTCCTGATCTAGCCAAATTCCTCAAAACATCACTTATTTTATGGCTCCAAATCTTCGCTCAATTCTTCTTCTTCTCCTCCTCCTTCTTCTTCGATGGAGTCTTGCTCTGTTGCCAGTCTGGAGTGCAGACTCATGATCTCGGCTCACTGCAAACTCCACCTCCCAGGTTCAAACGATTCTCCTGCCTCAGCTTCCTGAGTAGCTGGGACTACAGGCGCGCTACCACTCCTAGCTAATTTTTGTATTTTTAGTAGAGATGGGGTTTCACCATATTGGCCAGGATGGTCTCGATCTCTTGACCTCGTGATCCGCCTGCCTCAGCCTCCCAAAGTGTTCGGATTATAGGCGTGAGCCACTGCACCCAGCCTGCTCAATTCTTCTTTATGTTCTGCAGTAAAAATCCTATTCATTTTCTTGTATCCATCTCAAATGCTACCCACTTCATGAAAATCTTTGACAGCTCCATTAAGTTGCCTGTGTCTTGGGGAGAAGGAGGAAGTTTGTATACTTTATGTACCAGAATACTCCATCATGGCATTATCATTTTTTTAATTAAAAAACTATGTATGTTTGTGTTTCCACTTGACATAAGCTCTATAATCAAATTTTACACTTTCTGATTTCTCAATGTCGGAGAAAAGTGCCTTGGGTATAGCAAGAGCTCAATAAATATTTGTCAAATTAAATTAAATAAATGATATTTAATTAAATGGGAAATTAGACGAAGTACAGAACTTTCAAATGACTATATTTAAATATTTTTCAAGTGTGCAGGTTATTAAAATTATCTAGTACAAATAAAGCAGGTGATTAAGAGTACCCATATAATTTCTCAATCTTGCTTCAGTATTCAGTGTTATTTTTTGAGAAGTGTTCAGATATTGCTTCTCAATCATAATCAAGTTTATATCTCTCTATGAAGAAGTGGTATCTAATTTTATCTTCATATCAGAGTCAGCTCTAAAGCTTTAATAAATACACTAATGCCTAAAACGTACCCCATACCATTTGAAACAGTATTTCTGGACTTTGAATCTTGGACACTTTGATTTTTTTAATTTTCACAGGTAACACAAATCTATAACCATGATTAAGAACTATAGCTCAGATTATTACTCCATATGAATAAGATGTAAGATCAACTATGGAAGATGCACTAAGCTCTCATTTTAATAAACAGGTTATTTATATTTTAGAGTATGCCAACTACTTGTTTCTAAAAGATCCTAATATTTCCTAAAAGGATAAAATAAGGCACTTTATTTTTATACCTTTTAGTTAAAAAAAAATTCCTTTTTCTGAATACTCTGACTTCAACATATCCATAGTCAAGTAAAGAACAGATTTGAAGAGATTATGTACCTTATTTATGTAAGCTTATTTTTGATGTAATTTACTGGTATTCTATTTGTATTTTTGGAGAAATTATGATTTTTTGATTGATGTTATGATTATTTTGCCCTTTTCTCTTGAAATATCTTAGAGGAAATTCTGGCTACATTATGAATAATGACATTTCTCCCATATCCCTATCATGGGAAGGAGATACAAGGAGATGTTAACTTGTGCTTCTTGTTCAACATTTTTATTACGTGTCTTTAAAAAATGATGAGGTATTCTGGAATTCAGCACTATCCACAAGCTAATTATAATCAGCTCTATTTCTCATGAATTCTATTCATTCACTTATTTAATTTTATTCATTATTTTATTTGATGAATATGTATTGAATAATAATGATATACTAAGCACTGTATTTAAAGCTAACAAAATAGACATGATCGCTTCCCTTATTGAACTTAGAAAATGGCAGGAATTCATATGGAGAGTTTTACACACACACACACACACACACACACACACACACACAAACACATACAACTTATAATTAAGATATAAAAGAAAAGTAAATGATACGGTGCCTTAATATACAGGGTAATTTTGAGTTATACTAGATGTCAGGAGTGGAAGGGCAAGTCAGGTTAGGACTCACAGTAGAAGAATAGACAGCTGAGACTGAGAGTTTGAGGAGGAATTAGCAAGGTGAAGAAAGGGCAAGGGAGTATTCTAGGCGAAGAGAACAGCATATTCAAGCATCCTAAAGCGGGAAAGGGCTTGGAAAATTTTGTGGAATTGAAAGACCATTATGACTGGTGCTAATGCCTCGATCTGCTTCTCAGCTGCTTCCAGTATAAATGTATGAATATGGTCCACTACAAAAAATCATAGCAGACATGTATTACATGCCTACTGTGTCCCAGACATAGTTTGAAACACTATCCATGGATTTATTCGTTTACTTGTAATAATAAACTTTTGAAGTAGACACTATTAGCACCATTACTTATTTATAGTATTATATATATATTTTTTCTTTTTTTTAGGTTAGAAAGCTGATGTTTATACAGCCTAAGTATTTTACTCATGGCCATACAACTAGAAGGTGGAGTAGTTGTAGGGTTTCAACCAATCTGTTTATCCAACCTGAGCAGCTGATACTATAAAATGAAAATTCTAGTGGTCAAATATAGAAAAGGCTAACACTTATAGTTTATGATCAAAATAGCATCTTGATTGATAATTATTTACCTAAAGCAATGTTTCTCATCCAGAAGTCCCACATATGCTAGAACTTTGTGATGCCCTTAGAGATGTGCCTCCAAATATCTAAACATTTTTTCTCTACGGAGAACATTATTTAGGCTACTCTTGCGTGAATATGTTGGGTTTCTAGTCTCTGCACTCCCCTCATTTAGTACTTAGTTTTCTTTTACTCTCTTTAAACTATAATCTCAGATTCTCCTGGGCAATCAAGACGGTATAGGAGCTCACTTCATTTTTTCTCTTAAGAATTGCAATGTTTACACATGTTTTTACTCCACTTTAATAACATGACCTAGACCCAGTACATTGTACGGGTACAGTACATAGTTGTATTATGCAGTAAATTTACATAGAGAGCATTAAACATTTATTTTATATATTTTTTTATTTTTGAATTAAGATTTATGATATAAAATTGGAGATTTATGGATCGTCAACTACAGGTCTATGCCTAAAGCTCAGCTCTATTTATGCCCTAATTTTATTGTTTGTGATTTTCCATATTGCCTCTTTCATCTTTGAATTTCAAGTTCGGTTGTTGTTAAAATTCTCTGTTTTTTTGTGTTTATCGTTATTAATGGAACTAGAACTATTATCTTTCAAATTATATTTTCATTTATGATGATTTTATTTATTGCATAGAGGTTGTTAAAATATGAGTTCCTAATTGTCAAAAATAATAACAAAAATACAATTTTTGAGCAAGTAGTAGAGAGATTTTAAAGTATAACGTGCTAAACCTTCAGTTTGTAACCTGGTCTTGTTGCTGCTGCTGTTAGCTATGGGAAGTATCAGGGGACTAAGTATTATTTTATTTATTTGTTTGTTTATTTCTATGGGTTTTCGGGGGAACAGGTGATGTTTGTTTACATGAGTAAGTTCTGTTTTTTTTTTTTTGTTTTTTTTTTTGATGGAGTCTCGCTCTGTCGCCCAGGCTGCAGTGCAGTAGCATGATCTCTGCTCACTGCAACCTCCGCCTCCCATGTTCAAGTGATTCTCCTGCCTCAGCCTCCTGAGTAGCTGGGATTACAAGCACTGCCACCATGCCTGGCTAATTTTTTGTATTTTTGTGGAGATGGTGTTGTATTTTTGTAGAGACGGTGACCATGTTGGTCAGGCTGGTCTTGAACTCCTGACTTGTGGTGATCTTCCAGCCTCGGCCTCCCGAAGTGCTGGGATTACAGGTGTGAGCCACCATGCCCGGCCATGAGTTAACTCTTTAGTGGTGATTTGTGAGATTTTGGTGCACTCATCACCCAAGCAGTATATACCGTACCCAATTTTGCAGTCTTTTATCCCTCACACCCCTCTTGCCCTTTCCCCTAAGTTCCCAAATTCCATTGTATCATTCTTATGTCTTTGCATCTTCATAGCTTAGCTCCCATTTATGAGTGACAACATACAGTGTTTGGTTTTCTATTCCTGAGTTACTTCACTTAGAATAATGGTCTCCAATTATTCAAGTTAATATAGGAAATGCCTACTTTTTCCTCTAAATTCTTAGTTTTCGATAGACATTTTTCACTCCTGTCTGACTATGTTGAGTGTTTCTCATTGTGCTATGCCTGTATAATAATTAATTTTTGTCCATCAAAAGATTAGTAGCATTTAAATGCTACTGCACATGTTCCTTCTTTTGTTGACTAGTAACACTTTAGCATACAAATGACTATGCATTTGGTTACTTTTTCAGAAAAGCATTTATTGTCAAGGAGATTCCTTCTCCCCAGTGGCTCAGTGAATTTAACAAATGTACTTGCTCCTGAAAACTTAGTCGTATTTTTTATTTTCCCAGTACTTTGTGGAAGGTATTACAGTATCCACTTTACTTGCTTAAGCTTGTAAAGCTTTTGTGTCACAGCCCACAGATACGGAAGGCTTACTGGGAAGCAAATTTCCAATGACAATTGAAAAGTACACAGTACAAAAGAGAGAAGTGACCGAATTATCCCCTAAGTGGTTCTGTAGCTTCTTCTATAATATCAACAAAAGCAGTTTTTTTCTAAGGCTTCAAATCTGCCACTGCAATAAGTTTTCCCTCTGATTCTCGTCTTTCCATTGTGGTAGAAGGACTGTCAAGCATGAAGTTCTTAGAGAGTTGCATAGCATTTGGGCTTGGAAACCCAGACACTGCAACTTCACAAAGAAGAAAAATATTTTCCTTCTCAGCAATCTCAGTCACATATTAAAATGCGAGATAAGAGTGACTCATTCAAACTAAAGTCTTCTCCAACCCCATTCCTACAATCAGCTTGTTCAGACAACCACACTTTTTCTCACCATATTTTTTCTTCTATTTCAGAGATTGTGCTGGTACTACATTTCTCTCTTTCATTCTTGCTCTGATAACTCAGTGTGTTTTATTTCAAATGTATTTTATTTCTCATATTTTCAGAGACTTCCACAAAGCTAGTCAAATATAAAACTATTGATGGTGGTAGAGAAAGAAGAAATAAAGAAAGTCATGAGTTTTGATGTAAAATTAGGTATAATTTTGAAAATCCTAGGGTCTTAATTTCTAAAGCCTTCTAAGTGCCAGAACCTCATTTTTTACTTCATATACACATTCTTTTTCCTTTGTCCTTTATTAAATCTGACTTAAATTAACTACCATGATGAAGACTTATAAGCAGTTTTGCCTTTATGTTATTTTTTATTCCAAACATTATTGTCCATACTATAAAATTGACAATTTTATAATTGTCAATACTAAAATGGTTGAAGACTATTTTATTATGATCAGTATATTAAGTTTTGTATAAAAGAATGAATAGAAAAATCTGAATTTTGAATTCAGCTCAGCCACTAGCAAAATATGTGAAAATGAAATATTTTTGCCTTAACATTCTCATTTTTTTAGGAAGATGTTATCACAATAGGACCATATACACTTGTACAATCTGAATTTTAGCTACAACCTTGAACTGAGATTCAAATGTAAATTTGCAATTACTTACTGGACATATATCCACTTAGATATACAGTATCATGCTCCACATGCATCAAACCTCCTTCTTTGATTCAGGACTCACAATGCTGATTTTGCCTATATTTTCAATCTCTATTTATGATTCCAGTACCTTTCTATTCACCCCAGCCAGAGGTGTGTTTTCTTAGATTCCTCAGTCCCTTTAAAACCCATACTCACAATTCAAGTACCTAAAGGAGAAAGAGTAGATTATTCTAAGAAAGTTCAACAGAGAAGTAATCAAGAACATTTTGAACAAATGAGATATGATTTGTTCATGGGTACTACTGAATGGGTGATTATTTTTAGAGTCTGCTTTGAGAGGCACTGTACTTATAGGAAAGAGGAAAGAGATGGCAACATTAAAAACTAAGTATAAGGTTTCTTGGGAATGCATTAGATAGGGCAAAAATCTATTGAGGAATGTGGATGAAGACGTAAAGGTTAAAAGCCTAGAAGCAGGGATGATAGCACTGCCACAGCGTGTGATGGGGATGGTGGGAAAGGAGATGATGAATGATACTCAAGTATGTATGGAGATGTTGGCAATGACTTTTGAGCAGTCAAATCTTGATTATTTATGTAAGGGGATAATAAATTAGATTCAGAGATGAAATGCTGTTTGGAGATTAGCTAATAGGTACAGTCTCCTTTCCCATCAAACCTTTTACTGGAACCACAATGAAATAGTACATTTGATTGATTCAAACTTCAGCTTTTTCTTTCTTACTATCTTTCCCTTGTAAATTAAACTACCCAAAATTTTAATGACCAAAATAGAAATTATCAGCAGAAAGATAGTAACAACCAACTGAAGGAATTTAATAGCATACCATTTAAAAAAAATGACGTTTTTTCTTAATACAAGCATGAATGATAGTCACTATGCCGAATCCTCCCTTAAGATATATTACTCTGACATCAGTAAATTCCTTTCTTGAAACATTGGTGAACAGCACAACTAGCAAAACTCACCTTTTTTTTCTTGAAAGTCGAGTTCAACTATTACACAATCATTATTTCCATAAGACTCACTACAATTTCCAGTAAGTAAATATTACTTTTCAGGGAGAAAGAAGTTATTCTCATCTTCCCAAATCCCAGTAGATTTTCTATAGTTACAGGATAAAAACAGAAACTTTTCTTAGAATTATAATTATGGCCAACAAGACTTAGATTTTTGTACATTTTGAAATTCTCTAAAGTTATGTTTCTGAAATAAGGTAAATACAGTTTGCAGAAACTACGTATATGATTATGCTTGCATAGTTTATGAAAGATTTATGTGTGTGTAAGTATGAAAATCACTCCTGGCAAAGATTGCCTTTGCTTAATAGACTTGAGGAAGAAAGTAGAAAAGAAGAAAATAAAAGAATTTTTCTAGATTGCCTCAGAATGTACTTGAATTTTGTTTAAAAAAGTAAATAATAAGCATGGTTTATTAAAAAACTTATTAGGGTTATTGCTCTATAAGCCTGGCATACTATTTGTTTTTGCTTTAAAACATAGCCCCACATTGGATTAAAAAAACAAAACAAAACAAAAAAAAACCAATATCAGTCTTTCTGCTATCTTCAGAAGAACCATTTCACATGTAATGACACCCATAGACTCAAAATAAAAGGATGGAGAAAGATCTGTCACACAGGTGGAAAACAAAAAAAGGACAGGGATTGCTATTTTTGTATTAGATAAAAAGATAAAATAGACTTCAAAGCAACAATAGTACAAAAGTACAAAGAATGACATTACATAATGATAAAGAGTTAAATTCAACAAGAAGATTTACTACTCTAAATGCATATGTATTCAATATTGGAGCTCCCACGTTCATAAAACCTTACTTCTAGACCCAAGAAAAGACTTTAACAGCTACACGATAGTAGTGAAGGACTTCAACACACCACTGACAGAATTAGAGAGACGATTGAGGCAGAAAACAAAGAAATTCTGCACTTAAATTTGGCACTTGACCAATTGGACCTAATAGGCAGCTACAGAATCTTCCATCCAAAACCCACAGAATATACATTCTTCTCATCTGCACACATAACATACTCTAAGATTGACCACAAACTTCATCATAAAGCAAGTCTCAATAAGTTTTAAAAAACTGAAATCACACCAAGCATCTTCTCAGAGCACAGTAGAATAAAAATAGAAAGCAACACCAAGAGGAACTCTCAAAACCACACAAATACATAGAAACTAAACAACCTGCTCTTGAATGATTTTTGTGCAAACAATGAAATTAAGGGAGAAATTTAAAGAAATCTTTGAAATCGGAAAATAGACACACAGTATACCAAAACCTCTGGAATGTGTGAAAAGCAGTGATAAGAAGAAAGTTTATGGTGCTAAATGCCTACATCAAGAAGATAGAAAGATCTCAAATTAACAACCTAATCTCAACCTAAAGGAACTAGAAAAACAAGAACAAACTAAATCCAGAGCTAGCGTAAAAAAGAAATAACTATAATCAGAGCAAAACTAAATGGAGACCCAGAAAACATATAAAGGATCGATGAAATGAAAAGATGGGTCTTCGAAAGGATAACAACATTGATATACTGCTAGCTAGATTAACAAAGAATGAAAAGAGAGAAGATCCAACTAAGCACAACTGAACACAACATATGTGATATTACAACTGATTCCACAGAAATACAAAAGATCCTGAGACTACTATGAACATCACTATGGACACAAACTAGAAAATCCAGAGAAACTGAATAAATATCTAGAAACACACAACCTTCCAAGATTGAACCAGGACAAAACAGAAATCCTGAACAGACTAATAATGAGCAAAGGAATTGAATCATTATTGCTGATCAACCCAAAAAGCTGTGGACCAGATGGACTCACAACTGAATTCTATTATATGCACAAAGAAGAGCTGGTGCAGATCCTACTGAGATTATTCCAAAAATTTGAGGTGGAAGGACTCTTCCCTAACTCATTCTATAAAGCAGCATAATCCTGATACCAAAATCTGGCAAAGATACAACAAAGAAGAAAACTATAGGCCAATATTCTTGATGAACATAGACACAAAAATTCTCAACAAAATGTAACCAAACAAAATCCAGCAGCACATGAAAACATTAGTTCAACATGATCAAGTAGGCTTTATTCCTGGAATGCAAGGATGGTTCAACATATGCAAATAAATAAATGTGATTCACCACATAAACAGAATTAAGAAAAAAACATATGGTCATCTGAATAGATGCAGAAATGCATTCAATAAAATACAACATCATTTCATAATAAAAATCCTCAACAAACCAGGCATTGAAGAAATAAGAACTGTCAATGCTAAACCCACAGCCAACATCATACTGACTGGGGAAAGGTTGGAAGCATGGCCCTTAAGAACTGGAACAAGACAAGGATATCCACTCTCACCAGTTCTATTCAACATTTTACTTGAAGTTCTAGTCAGAGCATTCAGGCAACAGAAAGAAATAAAAGGCATCCAAATAGGAAAAGAGGAAGTAACATTATTTCTCTTCACTGAATTTATGATTTTATACCTAAAAAACCCTGAAGATTCCTCCAAGGACTCATAGACCTGATAAATGACTTCAGCAAAGTCTCAGAATACAAAATTAACATACACAAATCAGTTGCATTTTTATACACCAATAGCATTCAGACTGAGACCCAAATCAAGAATGCAATCCCATTTACAATAGCCATAAAAATATAAAGAACCTAGGAATACACCTAATTAAAAAATGCGAAATGTCTTTATGAGGAGCACTAAAGACAAAACAACAACAACAGCAACAACAAAATCACGCTGAAAGATGACACAAATAAATGGAAAAGCATTCCATGCTCATTTCATGCTCATGAGTTGGATGAATCAATATCATTATATTGTCCATACTGCCCAAAGCAATCTATAGATTCCACACTAATCCTGTCAAATTACCAATGTCATTTTTCATAGAATTTGAAAAAGAAACTATTCTAAAATTCATATTGAAACAAAAAAGAGGCTGAATATCTACGGCAACTCTATACAAAAAGAGAAAAGCCAGAGGCATCACACTACCTGACTTCAAATAATACTACAAGGCTACAGTAACCAAAACAGCATGGGATTGGTATAAATATAGACACATAAACCAATGTAACAGAATAGAAAACTCAGAAATAAGGCTACACTCCTACAACCAACTGATCTTTGACAAAATCGACAAAAACAAATAATGGAAAAGGATATCTTATTCAATGAATGGTTCTGGGAAACTGGCTAACCATATGCACAAGAATGAAACTGGACCACTACTTTTCACTCTATACAAAAAGTAACTGAAGATATATCAAGGAAATTAAATCTAAGGCCTCAAACTGTAAAAATCCTGGAAGAAAACCAAGGAAATATTTTTCTAGACATTGGCCAAAAATTTATGACTAAGTCCTCAAAAGCAACTGCAGCAAAACCAAAAATTGACAAGTGTGACCTACTTAAAGAAGTTCTACATGCAAAAAAATATTTGCAAACTATGCATCCAACAAAAGATTAATATCCAGAATCTAAAAGGAACTTAAAAAGAAAAGGAAATATCCCCATTAAAAAGTGGGCAAAGAATATGAACTGGCACTTCTCAAAAGAAGACATACAAGAAGCCAACAAGCATATGAACAAATGCTCAGCATTACTAATCATCAGAGAAATGCAAATCAAAACCACAGTGAGATGCCATCTCACACCAGTCAGAATGGCTATTATTAAAAAAGTAAAAAAAAAAACCCACAGATGCTGGTGAGGTGGGGGAAAAAAGGTAATGCTTACATTGTTGGTGGGAATGCTAATTAGTTCAGCCCCTGTAGAAAGCAATTTGGAGATTTCTCAAAGAATTAAAAATAGAATTGCCATGTGACTCAGCAATCTAACACAGAAACAGAAAACCAAATACTGTATGTTCTCACTTATAAGTGGGAGCTAAACATTGGTACACATGGAAACAAGATGGGAACAATAGATACTGGAAATTCCAAAGAGGGAGGGAGAAAAAGAGAAAGAAAGAAAGGCTTGAAAACATCCTATTGGATACCACATTCTTGGTTGACAGGGTCATGAGAAGCCCAAACTTCAGCATCACTTAGCATATCCATGTAACAAACCTGCACATGTAACCCCTGAATCTAAAATAAAAAATAATTTAAAAATAAAACACAAACTCTAGATTATGATAGTTATTCCTTTTATATGTAGAAAGTTCATTTGAAAGTGATTTTTTAATAGTATCGAGATATCAAAATAGGATTTTTTTTCCAGACAATAAAACATATATGAGCCCATGTGGAGATAATTATCATCAGTAGTTTTTGATTTTCACAAACCAGTCATCTCCAGTGTTGCCTTTTCTTGAAAACATTGAGTTGTACTGATGGTAGCTTCGAGGCTTCTTTTCTTGTTCTTCCTGGTATTCTCACTTCTAATTTTGATAACCTGTGGTGCACCATGGCTTCTGACATGAACACTAATTAGGGATGGCAGAATTCAGGCTTGAAGAGCCACAGTGAATAGGAGGAAATTGAAAGATGGACTCAGACAATGACAAGAAGGTTCTTAGCTCTACAGAAGTAAGAGTACATTTGTTGGAATGACAGATACTGAAAAAGAAATAAAATAATACTGTCCTGTCAGTGGAATAATATCAATCAACTGTTATTATTATTTATAGTTACCTATTATTGTTCTTGTTGGTCATTTCTTGTGACTGTGAATTAGAACTTAGTTTTTGGCATGTCCAATTCAATTTCTGTGTATTTTTTCCTGTAGCATTTACGGGAGTATGAGTTATTGATATGCAATGAAAATACTAGTAGTTAAGGTTATTGTCAACTAATATTCTTAAATATATGACCCCTTTCCAATTTTGAGATCACAGTTTTGCTATGTACATTTATAAAACTTAAAAAATTTAACTGAGAACAAAATAACTGAAGACTATTTTAGAATGCCTAAAATATAGTTTAGATTAGTGGTGGTATTTATTAAAATAATTTAAATCACAAGCTTGGTATCATCTGTAGGCTCTGGAAATAAAAGAAGTTATCAGTCTTTATAAATGTTAATGATACTAGATTCCCATTAAATCTCATCAGGTTAAAAATACAGTTTTAATGAATGAAAATAAATGCAGTATAAAGGAATCATTTACAAATAATGTAATAATCTTTACTTCTGCATTTCTTTTTATATAATTTCTGAAACTTTTCTAAATGATCAGCTAAATTAGCACTTAAATATATTTTGTTTTCTAATCTTGATAAATTTGAAACTCTTTTAAAAATTGTTTTACAGTTATAAGACTCACAATTTTAGTCACGCTCATTAACAAATAATTGGCTATCTAAGAAAAAAACCCCAAAACTCTTTTATTTCTCACCATAATAATAAATAATTTTATGAAATGTTCTTAAATAGTAAAAAAGAAACATTTTCTGAAGCAATTTAGGATAAATGTAAGAACAATCATTTCCAACCAATAATCACAAATTATTAAAAGTTAGGCCATAAGAATATTAGCTCTTCATTCTGCTTGACAGTATTTGAGCATGGCTTGGCTTCTTACTTGGCAGGTGGCCTGGCACTCCTATGCCAGCTGTCAAGCTGAAGACGTGGCTGGACAGATACTTTAGAAGAGCTACGTATGATGTTCTGAGTGAGATCTAAAGAAAAACAGAAACTGAAGAAACAAAACATAAAGTTTGCCTGCATTAAGAGCCTGTTTTTCTGTAATATACATTTCATTTTTTTAAAATCTTGAACCCACTCTTTCAATACAGGTGCCCATTATTATAAATTCTGGTTTTGGCTTTAGAGTTCAAATAATTCAAATTATCTGCAAATCTGTAATCAAAGAACTGTCTAGATGTCCATAATGAAAGCTATCCTCATTACTACTGTGAAATATTTGCTTCATCTCAACTTTCCGATGAAATTCTCATGAAAATTCAGAAGAAACAACACAAATACAATTTTAAAAGTGATATTTTAAAATAACGTTAAAGGAGAACTATCACAATTTCAATAGAATACACAAATAGACTTTATTGGGATAGATTTCTGTGGTTGAATGTTTTTAATGCTATAAATATAGAAAAATATCTTATTTTTGAATTTTTTTCTTATCTTGAGTCAATTTATGGAAATGCTCCTGTATTTAAGAGATTTACAATTAATTGTTCATTAATTATATGCCCTTTGGTGAGAACTTTACTCTTCATGCCTGATCTTGTTTTTCGTTGTTGTTGTTTGTTTGTTTTGTTTTGTTTTGAGACGGAGTCTTGCTCTGTCGCCCAGGCTGGAGTGCAGTGGCATGATCTCAGCTCACTGCAACCTTCGCCTCCCAGGTTCAAGCAATTCCCTGCCTCATCTTCCTAAGGAGCTGGAATTACAGGTGCCTACCACCATGCCCGGCTAATTTTTTTTTGTATTTGTAGTAGAAACTGGGTTTCACCATCTTGGCCAGGCTGGTCTTGAATTCCTGACCTCGTGATCCACCCACCTCGGCCTCCCAAAGTGGCCTGTTCTTGTTTTAACAGCATTTTCTTTTATTATTCTTAACAATGATAATAGATTTATGCTCAAGAAAACCTTTTATTTATACTTTTTCAATAAATTATTTTTCAAGAATGGGCACTAAATACAAATGAATAACTTGATAATCTACAGAGATTGTCATTAACTTTCAAATTGTACTTATTATGATTAATATATTAATTAATTTTTGAATGGCAAAAATACTTATATTCCAGCAATAAGCTATTATTGGTAATGGTTAAAAAATATTCTCATGAACTGCTATATTTTGTTTGCTCTATTATATTTAGGTATATTCACTAGTGACTGCTCAATAATTACAATATTTAACTACTTTGCTAGTTTCTTATATCAGGGTTATGCTAACTTCATTTAAATGAAGATGAACTGGTTTCAGAGCATTTACTATGGTCTAAAGCAGTTTTTGGATTATGAGGTTGTTTTATTGTTTTATATTAGGTGAAAAATAAAAATTCCAAAGTATTTTTTTCTTCTGGAAGAAATGCTTCAGTAGCTTTCATAATTTATTTTATGCTTATTGGCCTTTTCATTTTATTGTTTCTTTTTGAATCAATTTTATATTGTGCACTGATATATAACCAGGTATTCAAATTTATTAACATAGATTTTCACATAATGTCACCATATAAATTTTATAATCTCAATTTACTGAATCTCTTTCTCACATAAAATTCTTTGAGGCTTAAAATTTCTTTCCCTTTTTTCTTAATTTGGTTGATGAAGAAATTTATTTTATTACTGTTGCTTTTACTAAAAGACATGTTTACTGTTTAGCCATTTTCTTCCTTCCTACTTTGTACTTCACTATTTTTTCAGCATTTTCTTATTATTTTTCTTTCTGCTATTTGGGTTTTTTTGGAGCGTCTATTTCCCAGCCTCTTATGATTTAAGTACTCCATTTATTTATGTTGATTTTAATCACTTAGTGGTAAGTTCATATGAGGCTGAACTTTTCTTTCACAAGTCTTTTGAAGATATTTATAAATTAAAAGTTGTATAGCTAGTGATTACCAGAGTGCTTTGAAATCAAGCAGAACACTCATCGCTTAAATCAAACCAGACTTTGGATTTCAGATAACAGTTATTTAATAATTCATTTAAATAATACACTTTAAAAAACTACTTTTAACATCTACACATTTCTTTTTATTTAGGGAAATTTAGACAATTTTGTTTATTAAAGCTAGTGTTCATGGTTTTTTTAAATATCACCTTCCAGGGCAGACATGGTGGTTGGGATGACTTGACACCTGAAGTTCAAGAGCAGCCAGGGCAACATAGGAAGACCCTATTACTACAAATAATAAAATAAAAAAAAATAGCCAGGAATTTTGACATGCACCTGTGGTCCCAGCTACTGGAGAGGCTGAAGTGGGAGTACTACCTGAGCTTGGGAGATCAAGGCTAGTGAGCCATGATCTTATCACTGCACTCCAGCCTGGGTGACATAGTGAGACCCTGTCTCTAAATAAATAAAAACTTACATACATACATAAAGTCAACTTCCACATTTTTTGTCCCTTAACTTGACTAGTGCCAATAAGTATCTTTAAATGAAGTGTGTATGTTTACTAATTTTCATTCCATTCATTTATTGCCTGGTGAAGTGACTGAAACATTAAATTTTTTCAATTTTCACATTTCCTCTTGAAAGCAATTTTGATATTTTTTTCATTGGTTTAACTTTGGTTTTATTCTGGCTAGCCAGTTTTATTTTAACTTGTTTAAAGCTTACAAGACTATTCTCCACTTTATGTTTGTAATTTGTTTTTATACGTTGATTTTTGTCAGGCTGGGTTTAAGTAAGGGTGATTTAAATTTATTTGACAGTTTTCTATGAAAATGTCATTCCTTCATCCTCCAAAATTCTTACCAATCTGAAAAAACTACCCATTATAAAAAGAGGTACAGATTACCTATGAGTTCCTTTTTTTTTTTTTTTTTTTTTTTTGAGACAAAATCTCACTCTGTCGCCCAGGCAGGATTGTAGTGGCATGACCTCGGCTCACTGCAACTTCCATCCCCCGGGTTCAAGTGATTCTCATGCCTCAGCCCCCCGAGCAGCTAGGATTGCAGGCACCCGCCACCACGCCTGGCTAATTTTTGTATTTTAGTAGAGATGGGGTTTCACCATGTTTGCCAGGCTCAAACTCCTGATCTCAGGTGATCCACCCGCCTCGGCCTCCCAAAGTGCTGGGATTACAGCCGTGAACCATGGCGCCCAGCCTATGAGTTTCTTTTATGTCTTTGGAAGCATACCCTGAAGTTATATGTTTTCCTGCTGCAACATGGCTTTGTTTTCCTCTAGCCTCTGAAGTAGCTAGGACTTTTTTTCACCATACTCCTGGGAATTTTCTTTACCGATCTTCTGTGCTACAGCCCCATTTCCTGGATCTTATTCTTGCATTTTTCTTGAATTATTTTCTCATTTTGTTAAAGGCTGTAATAGCATCCTGAGAAAGGTTGCTGAGTACAAATTTAAGACCTTATATGCCCAAAAACATTGAGTCTTCCATGAAGAATTATAGGTTGAATTTTTGGGGAGGCATTACTCCATTGCCTTTTTCTGCTGTTGCAGTTGTTCACAGGTCATTCTGATTCTTAACCTTTTGTATGTGGCCTGTATTTTTCCTTCCTATGAACAATTTCAAGATTGTCTCTATTTCTGAAGCTTGGAAACTTCACTAATGATATACTCTTGTGTATAGAATTAAAAATGAATTTTAAAAATTTAAAAACTTCATTATGTTGAACATTCTCTAGAGTCTTGATTTGTGCCGTCCAATACGGTAGCTTCGTCACATATGACTATTAAACACTTGACACCTGGCTTGATTGAATGGAGATGACTGTTAGTGTGAAATAAATACTGGCTTTCAAAGACATGATATTTAAAAACGTAAAATATCTTAAATTTATATTGATTACATGTTGAAATGATAGTGATAATATTTTGATATATTAGGTTAAAGAAAATAACTGATGAAATTGAATTCATCTTTAACTTTTTAAAAATATGGTTATTAGCAGAAGCTACATTATATGTGTGCTCCTTTTTGGGGCTTGTTGCTATATATATAGTTATATATATATATATATGTATGTGTATATATATATATATATATTTTTTTTTTTTTTTTTTTTTTGAGACAGAGTCTCACTCTGTCACCCAGGCTGGAGTGCAGTGGTGTGATCTTGGCTCACTGCAACCTCTGCCTCCAGGGTTTAAGTGATTCTTCTGCCTCAGCCTCCCGAGTAGCTGGGACTACAAATGCACGCCACCACGCCTGGCTAATTTTTGTATTTTTAGTAGAGATGGGGTTTCACCATATTGGCCAGGCTGGTCTTGAACTCCTGACCCTTTGATCTGCCCTCCTCGGCCTCCCAAAGTGCCAGGATTACAGGTGTGAGCCACCATGCCTGGCCTGTTGCATTATATTTCTATTCAGCAGCACTGGTCCAGAATCTTGTTGGGCATATTCAATCCAGAAACTCAGTTCCTTCAGTCTTGAGATATTTTCTTAACATTAGTTAACATGGTAATTTCCTTTCCATCATTTCTCATTGTCTGTATCACTGAGTATTGGTCATCTGACGGTTAGACTTCCAAGTACCATGTAAACAATAGATAGATTCTGTTTGTTTTAAACATTGATGTCCAGGTCTCACATCCAGACATTCAGGTTGATGAAACCCAGACAGTATTGTCTGAAATCTCCCTACATGATTCTACTGATTGTCTAACTTGCAGTCGTGTGATGAGTAAGTTCTGGAGATCTAAGCTACAACATGATGAGTATTGCTAATGATAGTATATTGCAAATTTGAAACCTGTTGAGAGATTAGATCTTAACTATTCTTACCACACACACTAAGAGGTTAACTGTGAGGTGATGGATATGTTAGTCAACTTTGATTGTGTTAATCATTTCATAATGTATATATATACCAAACATTGTTTCATAAGCCCTAAATATATGCAGTTTTTATCTCTGAATTATACCTCAATAAAGCTGGAAAAAAAGAAAAAGGGAAAATAGTCTGGGGAATTAATTTTAGGCTGATGCACATTTTTATTTAGTCTTCTAGATTTCAACATAGTGCTTAATCTCTGCGAATCTAGAGCCACTTCAATTCAATTACTTCTTCAGTTTTCTGCCAGGGTCAGGACAAAAAGAATGGGTAGTTCTCCAGAAATGGGTTGAAATTTCTACCTAATTTACTACTTGGTACAGATTATGGACCTCTGAACACGGACTTTTGTTGGGGAGAAGAATGAAATATTTCTTGTACTGTCTCTGGTTAATCAAGGATTATTGGTTTCCTGGGGCCTTATATTTAGTGTCAATTCTTCAAAAATGATAGGTAAAGTTCTTTATGGGGTTCAGGACATGCTACCCCCAAATGTGTCTCCGTGGTATTAAGAAAGTCTAGGAAGGTCACTTTCTTTTCCCCTTCTCCCCCAAAGCACGTCATAAGACTCTCATCTGAGAGGTACCCTCCCTACACTTGGAAGAAAAGAACATCCTTATCTCTGAAATCACAGGGACACAGAGAAGAATATGAACAAACAGTTCTTGCTAAGTTTCCCTCAGTTTATTACTGTTAGATCCTACCCTTTTGTTCTCAAATCCTATTTCCCCTTAACTGTCCATTCTTCATCAAACTTAAGCATAAAAGTACATAAGTTTACTTCATTTTGGAGAGTCTTCATTTCTGAAGGTTTCCATGTCATGTAAAACTTGTATTAAATAAATTTGTATGTTTTGCTCTTGTTAATCTGTATTTTGTTATAGAGGCCACAGCCATTAATCTAGTGATGGGTGAAAAAAGAAATCAACCCACCAAGATTCCTTAATCAATTGCCTGTAACTCTATATATTTTCAATGTGTAACAAAAAGGTCATGGATTCCAGCCACATGTGTAAGCCAAGTTGACCACCCTGCTGTGCCAGTGGAAACACACTGTCACAGTAAGACTGTGGTATTACCTACGTATCAATAAGACCACAGACGGAATTTTGTATCTGCAATTTTTCCATTTCAAGAGTTCATTTATTTTAAACATAATTCATTACCAACAGCTAACCCTCTTTTTTTCACTCTATTAATACAACTTTTTTTTTTTTTTGAGACGGAGACTTGCTCTTGTTGCCCAGGCTGGAGTGCAATGGTGCGATCTCGGCTCACTGCAACCTCTGCCTCCTGGGTTCCAGCAATTCTCGTGCCTCAGCCTCCCAAGTAGCTGGGATTACAGCTGCCCACCACCACGCCTGGCTAATTTTTTGTATTTTTAGTAGAGACGAGGTTTCACCATTTTGGCCAGGCTGGTCTCAAACTCTTGACCTCAGGTGAACCACCTACGTTGGCCTTCTGAAGTGCTGGGATTACAGGCTTGAGCCACTGTGCCCAGAAATACAGCTTATTTCTTAAAAATAGTCTGGAATATGCTTTTTTTTTTAATTGAATGAGGCTCTTTTTGATGCCAGGTTCATGCTCCTGCACCAGTTTTGTTTGTTTGTTTGTTTGTTTTTACAAGAATGCCTACAACTTACCAGTTACCTTCAAACACAATTTTTTGTACATATCTGAATTTTGTGCCTACAAACTTTTAGCAAGACTCCAGGCTACTCTGACTTTCACTGTTCTGAATTTGTATCTTTGCTCATAACCTCACAACTACTTTGGTTGGGTGCCAGTAGAGGCAATGCCAGTGCTTACTTTTCACCAATCCTTGAGCTGTATTTGGTTTAGGAATATGAGTCTATTAGGTGAAGAAGGAATGTAAGATATTTCAGATAGTGGGGAAAAGTATATTTGAAGGCACAGATGTGTGAAAGAGTTTAGGATATATGAATAACTCTAAGTAGTCTACCACTGATGTAGCACAGAAAATGTAAGGGACTGGTGATGGATGAGTGTGAACAGATAGGCAACATCAAAGTAGAAAGCCTTTGTAAGTTTCCTGAAGGAATTTAGTTTTTATGATATTAAAGAAATTTTGAAGGATTTAAAATACATGAACAGTATGATCAAGTTGGGGGTTTTAAAGATCCCTTTTAGTTTTGAAGGTGGAATTGTTGTTCACTGGACAAGATTTGGTGAGAACAGCCAAAAAATATTGCAAGAATACAAGCTGATAAGATCTGAATTATGGAAGACTCTAAAGGGATGAGGGAAAGAAATCAGATTTGTAAGATATATGGGGGAAAAATGAAGAATATATCATTTGCAAATTGGACTTTATGAAGTCAGAATTTAGGAAGACATCTTTCTGATAAATATGACTGGAAATGGGATTGAGGTAAAAAAGCAGAATTGAAATAATACAGGATGAATTTAATTTTGAACATATTGCATTTTATTTTCTTGTAATATATTGATCTAGTTGGCAGTTAGATATGTAATTCCAGAGCTCAAGAGAATGTTCTGGCTTGGAGATAACTTTTGGAGTTAAGATGATGGTTGGTCTCATGAATAATGGTGTGATAGTTCACTCAGGGAGCACATACGTGTTTCAGTACATTTACACTATTGGACATTTCTTTCTTCTCCTGACACTATTTCAGTGATTCTGTCCTAAAACTTACTGTATTCTGTTTGGTTTGACAAACAATTATAAATTATGGGCTTCCAAAGAAGGTAAAAAGCATCTGGGATTAAAAGAATAAAATGTCCTTTGAGTCTGGCTCACAAGTTCTTTAAGCATATTGGGAAATGATGATTGTAAGATGACAGCCATGAGACATTCAAAACCAGTAAATCCTGAATATGTCAGATACCTGCAACCTAACTTCATTTCCTGATACTTATCGGATTCCCAGGTCCTGATCTCTGTGTTTTCAACTACAACTTGAGTACTTGACATTGATTTCTAATTACTTCTCTTCATTTGAGATTTATTGGATACTCTTAATGACAGACTATATCCTGACTCCAATTAACCCCACTACAGTGACTCAAAAAGAAAGTTACAGACTTCTTCCTCTCATAGAAAACACACATATTTTGTCTTGCTGGCATCACTGGAATCAGTGCTTTAACATAAAAATCCACAATAACAGATGAGTCCTTGGTTTATCCATTTATCAGTCAATTATTTTATTAGGCATATTTCTTATTAGGTGTTTATATATAGTGACATTAATTAGGTGCCTAACCTGGAATGAATATTCTTAACTTGAATCCTATAAATTTTATATTCTGAGCTCTCTTAGCTTTAGTTCTACATAGTAATTGATTAAAAAAACAAACAAACAAAAAGCATGAATTTATTTTAACTACTTTGAGTAATCTCATATTGGAAAAGCAAACAAAACATTTTTTCACTACTTCATCAGAGGATTAATAAAAGAAAGAAATGCTTTCGCCATATAGTTGTTTGAAAAACATTTCATGTTATATGAAGAATACCTTATGCTACATTCAAATATAATTATAGCCAAAGGCACTAAAATATTTATTTTCATGTATGTCACAGCTTTATGTCTTTAAAAACTCAAAATTTGTATTTGCTGTTTTTAACTTTTAAATTTACATTGTTGGCAAGTATGATACTCCCTGACCTTGAAGAGAAACAAAACAGTACCTTCAAAGTGAAGCACACACTTTTTGTGCCCTCGAGCAATAGCATTCCGTGTTTACTATTTGTTTACATCAGAATTTCAGTGTGCTCCACAGTTCTGATAGGTATAAATATATAGGCACACCCTAAAACTATCCTGTACTTAAATAGATTTTAGAGGATACTGGGTTAAGCAGCAAAGTTTGTTAGGTTTTGTTATCACTGAATGTTTAACAAATTCACGTGCATTGTGAATATCTCAGAATGATTTTTTTTTTTTGGTACGGTTTCTCTCTCTGTTGCCCAGGCTAGAGTGCAGTGGAGCAATCTCAGCCCACTGCAAACTCTGCCCCCCAGGTTCAAGCTACTCTCTTGCCTCAGCCTCCCGAGTAGCTGGGATTACAGGCACCCACCACCATGCCCGGCTAAGTTTTGTATTTTTAGTAGAGATGGGGGTTTGCCATGTTGGCCAGGCTGGTCTCGAACTCCTGACCTCGAGTGATCCACCTGCCTGAGCCTCCCAAAGTGCTGGGATTACAAGCGTGAGCCACCCCGCCCAGCCTGCAGAAAGATTTTTTGAAACTAAAACTTGGGGCATAATTTCTCAGAAGAATACACTGTGGAAAACAATAAGTTAGACTCTGACGATTTTGAAGCCCTTACAAATATTTATAATGGAATTCACTTATACGTGCAAATCTATGAACTACATACCCTACCAATAATTAGCAGAAGAGCAGACCATTTCTATAATTAGTTGACACTTGGTACCTGGATTTAATATCTAACTGAAAAGAAGCTTTCAGTAAGGTCTGCGAGTTGAATGGAAAAATGGAAGTCAGAATCTGGTTTTGAATCGTGAGCCTGCCACTTAGTAGTTGATTTACTTTAGGTAAGTTGCCATAACTGGAGTGGGGATAATAATAATGAATAACTTGAAGTTTGTTTCTATTAGAGATAAAAATTTATAAATTATATAACATCATTCCTGGCACAAAATTGTCAGTGAGTGATCGTTTTTAACGACCACAGGGTAATCTAAAATTAAAACATAATAAATGGTGTTCTTCGTTGCTATTTCCCCCCGGACTTTCTAATATGTTTTTTAACATTTTCTCCTTATGGGCCACCATTCCTCTTCTTCAGGCCATGTGTTGGTGAACTTCTTCTCTATATCCTCTCTCAATTCATTTCTCTTGCTTGGAAATTCATTTATCTCCATTTACCTAATTCATACTCATTCTACTCATACCTTTTTCTGGTGGTTTTTCCTCTGGGATGATTTAACTGACTGACTTGGGACATTTTTACTTTTCCCTTCTCTCACATCTAATGATCCTTTTTTCTATAAAATGTTATCTTTATGCATTTAAATGCAAACTTTTAGTATTAGTTTATATTTTTCTGTACAAGTTCTCTGTCCTCAACTAGATTAAAAGGTGCTTGAGAGAAGCAACTCTGTCTTAAAGCAGAGTATTTTCTTTAAAATGATAGGTATTCAAAAAACTTTTTTTTATTTTATTGATTACAAAAGGCAGCAGCTGAAAGTTAAACTCACTATTCATTATAGAAAAAGAACTTTCAGTAGACAGATGTGGCTAACTACTACTGATCATTGAGGAATAATTCTCATTGCACAAGATCTTTTTCATGTCTGTTTTACATGCATATTCAGTGACATTGAAGGAGTTTTCCAGTGTCTGATCAACTTTTGAGTGGGATGTGGGTAGAAAGCAAGTTAGTATTGAGTTCTTTATTCTAATTCATTTCTCTATCAATGTGTTTCCATTTGTTTTGGAGAAACAAACAGAAGTAGAGGATGGCAAACACTGGAATCTCCTTTCTAACACCAGAGGGCCTCCAAACAAAATGTTCAGTGAATTAAAAGAAATAGAATTCTAGTCATTGAAAACTCCACCTTCTAATCTTTGGATGCAAAATGTCTTCATTTTTCGATTGGCTCCATCTTTCTTTCATACATTCAAATTTATTCGATCTTTAAGTAGTGAAAAATACATAAAGAGAATATTGAAGAAAAAAAATTCAACCTCATTTATTACACCAAAATTGGTTTTAGGTAGATGCTTTAAAACAATTTTAGGAAATGGAATGCCATTCTAAGCAGGATATGAATTCAAAGAGTGGTAATCAGCAATAATTATATCTGGATAGTTTGTCAGAGTTTGTGGGGGTAAAGATTTTTCCTAACTTAGGCCTTCATGTCCTTGTATCCCCCTGTCTTTCTTGCTCCACACTTTTCTTCACTTAAGTCCTACAGAACTATTTATACTTTCCATCATCCACATGAGTCATTTTCCCTCTTCAAAGTATTTCCATCTACGCCACTTCTTTAACTCCATAGTTATCTGTCTTGACTGCATATTTGACCAGCTAAATAATTTCTATCCCATGTGCAAAATGAAAATGAGGGATCTCTTGTTGAACAAGTACTAAGAATTTCAAAAGGACACTAGCAGAGCAGAAAACCCAAAAGCAGAGTCCTTTGAAACGTTGGGCCCTGTACCACAGCACAGGTCACGTCCCCATGAATCTGGCCCAACTGCACGTTATAATCACATAGGAAGTTGTTTTTTGCTTTGTTTCATTTTTAAATAATGATGCTAAGGTAGTGCTCAGATGCATTAGATCAGAATTTCTGGGGGTAAGGCCCAGACCTCAGTTTTGTAATTTTAATTGCATTTTAATTGTAAAAAATTTAAGTTTATTTTAATTTTAATGTGTAGCCAAGGCTGGGCACCAAATTCAAAGGCTATTTCCTTGTGACTTGGCATATACTTACCTATTTACTTTTCTATCTCTCTCATGAGACCATTGAGTTCCTTAAGAGTAGATATCATATCTTTTTAGCCTTTTCATCTTTATGACATAGAACAACACCTGGAACATTTTAGATATCTATTAAATAGATTATACTGAATGAATGATTAAATAGATACTAATATGACCTCATTTTTAATTTTACAGGGTGTAATCAAGAAAAAAAGAAAGTAAAGGCAGACTTATTGGATGATAATTTGAAAGTGTAAAGAGAAAACATACTCTTAGAAAAAATGTAATAAAATATTTGAGAAATTAGATCTAAATTTACTTTTTAAATGAAGGGTATTGAGAGATACAATAGTCCCCTCAATTCTGTGCTTAAGGGGAAAATTATCTTATTTACACTATTACTCATTAAACTTTCAGAGTTGAGGAAAAGCAAGAATAAGGAAAAAAGATGGGAGAATGTTTACAGAATTAAGGAAATATGATGTTTCTCAATATGTGTGTAATACAGTTGAATAATAGGAGAATAAATTTGTGGTAGAAGATTCCTTCTCAAAGAACGACATGGCTTGTGAATGGTACTAGAACTGGAAAATAATGAGCCATTATTAGCACTAGTTTTGTCTGATCAAATTAATAGAATAAATGTAATTGCTCATAAGCACTAGTAAAGAACAATCTTAAGCATTTGCTAGTTTTAAATAATTTGGTCCAGATTTTAACATAGCATACATTTTCCATTATATGATTGTGCTAGATGTTTACACATAATGTAAGAGTATGGCACATATAAATAGCCCATTATTATGTTGTGTTTATAGTATATCATAGCAATTTGAGGACACATGACATGTCTCATTTTTTTCTTTTTGGTACAGCGTTTGGCAAACTAAGTTCAGAGGGCTAGATACATGTTTTTTGTATTTTCTCTTTTATTTAGGTAAAACTTACATGATGCAAAATTCATCATTTTCACCAAAGTATGTAATTCAGTGGTTTTCAGTATGTTCACAATATTGTGCAGATATCACCACTATCTAGTTCCAGATCATTTTCATAACCCCTAAAGAAAACTCTGTATCCATTAATCATTTATTCTGCGTTCATTGTTTGTTTGTTGTTGTTGTTGTTGTTGTTGTTGTCGTTTTGAGACAGGGTCCCATTCTCTGTCACCAAAGCTGGAGAGTAGTGGTGCTATCATAGCTGACTGCAACCTCCAACTCCTGGCTCAAGCAGTCCTCCCACTTCAGCCTCCCAAGTAGCTAGGACTGCAAGCACACACCACCAGGCCTGGCTAATATTTTTATTTTGTACAGATGGGGTCTCGCTATGTTGCCCAAGTGGGTCCTGGCCTCAAACAGTTCTCCCTGCATAGCATCCCAAAGCACTGAGATTACAGGTGTTAGCTACTGTGCCCAGCCTTGCATTTGTTTTTACCCATGAGGCCCTGGCAATAGCCTATCTGCTTTCTCTTTCTATGGTTTGCGTACTCTGGATATTTCTGGGTGACTAGAATCATGTACTGTGTGGCTTTTTGTGTCTGCCTGCTTTCACTTAGCATAATATTTTCAAGGTTCATCCATGCTGTAACATGTATCAATACTTCAATACTTTTATGATTAAATGATATTCCATTTTATGCATATTCATCATTTAGTTTATCTGTGAAACCACTGATTGGCATTCAGTTTATCTCCAAAATTTGGCTATTGTGAAAAGTTCTGCTATGCACATTGGTTCACAGTTTTTGTTTAAACACCAATTTTTAATCTTTTTGGGTATATACCTAAGAATAGCATTGCTGAGTTTTATGGTAATTCCATATTTAACTTTTTGAGGAGCTGCCAATATTTTTTTTATAGCAGCTGCACAATTTCACTTTCTCACTAGCAAATGTATGAAGGTTCTATTTTCTCTATATCCTCACCAACTTGTTACTTTCATTTTTAAAATTATAAAACATCCTGGTAGGTGTGAAGTGGTATCTTACTGCGGTTTAGATTTGCATTTCCCTAATGACTAATGATGTTGAGCATGTTTCTGTGTGCTTGTTGACATCTATATGTCTTCTTTGGAGAAATATCTATTCAAGCTCTGTGCCCATTTTTAAACAGCATTGTTTTTTTTTTGTTGTTGTTGTTGTAGGAGTTCTTTATATATTCTGAATAGTAGAATATTATCAGTTATATGATTCACAATATTTTCTCCCATTCTTTAGTTTGTCTTTTCATTTGTTTGACAATGTCCTTTCATACACAAAAGTTTTCACTTATGATAATGTCCAATTTATCTATATATTTTTTGTTGATTGTATTTTTGGTGTCATATCAAAAAATCCATTGCCAAATCCAAAATCATGAAGTCTTACCTATATATTTTATTGTGAGAGTTTTATAGTTTTATCTTTTACATTTAGATCATGATAACTTTGGATTAATTTTTTGTGTACTATGTGAGGTAAGTATCAACTTCATTCATTTACATGTAGATTTTTAGTTGTCCCAATGCCCTTTGTTCAAGAGATGATTCTCATTATTTTGTTGAGAAGTTTTACATCTGTATTCTTAAGGGACATTGGTATGTAGTTTTCTTTTATTGTGAAGTCTTTTCTGGTTTAGTATCAGGGTAGTGTTGGCCTGAAAGAATGGACAAGAAGGTGTTCCCTCCTGTTTTATTATTTGGAAGAGTTTGAGAAGGATTGGTGTTGAATTTTCTTTAAATGATGATGGAATTCATCAGTGAAGTTATTTGGTTCTGGGATTTTCTTTGGAGGTTCTGGATGACTGGTTCAATCTCTTTATTTTCTCTAGATATATTCAGATTTTTATTTCTATTTGAGGAAGTTTTGATAGCAGTGTCTCTGTAGAAATTTGTCTATTTCATTGGGGTAGTCTAATTTTTGATGTGTAATTATTTCTATGATTCTCTTGTAAACTTTTTATATCTACAAAATTGGTAGCAAAGGCCCTCTTTTTTCATCTGATTTTTTTTGCTATTACTTTTTTCTTGATTGGTCTAGCTAAAGATTTGTTAATTTTGTTCATCTTTTCAAATAATCAAATTTTGGTTCCATTGCTTCTCTCTATTTTTTTTTTCTGTTCTCTCTTTTATTATCTCTGAGGTAATCTTTCTTCTTTTCTTCCTACCTGCAGGTTTAGTTTGATCTTATTCTTCTAGGTTTCTATGGTGTAAATTTATGTTACTTATTTGAGATTTTTCTTCCTTTTTAATGTAGATATATACAGCTGTAAATTCCCTTTGAGGGACTGCTTTCACTGTATCCATTGAGTTTTAATATGTTCTGCTTTTGTTTTCATTCATCACAGAGCATTTTCTAATTTCCCTTCTAATTTCCTCTGCAACTCATTGGTTTCTCTCAAGGCCAGTTTCTATTAATTTCTTTGTTCCTGTCAATGGGCTGTACTTTCTTGTTTGTATTTTTCACTTTTTTTTGGTTAAAAAATGGGCATTTTAAACAGTATAATATTGCAACTCTAGAAATAAGATATTCCCCTCACCCAGGGTTTTTTGTTTACTGGTTATTGTAGTTCTTTGTTGTTTAGTGACCTTGCTAAATTAATTTTGTAAAGTCTGTATTTTTTGTTCTGGGTGGCCACTGAAATGTGTGATTGTTAGGTTAGTAGTACCTTAGTAACTTGACAGAGATTTCCTTAAACTCCTGGAACAAAACAACAAGAAACAAAACCAAACTTCCCGTCTTTGTAGTTTGGTTGTATATTGGGGCACTCCTTTACTGTTTAGCCAGGCAGTTTACAATTCTGCCCTATTCTTCCTTCCTGCTTGCATGGAGCCTGAATCTAGCCAGAGGTAAGGGCTTAGGGTCTTGTCAGGTCCTTTCTGAGCATACATCCCCCACTGGTTATGTGCATGGACTGCTAGATTCCCTTGACTATACGGGAGCTTGTCCCAGCTCTTAGTGCCCCCAAGTATTTCCTCCCTAGTCTTTCTGTCTCAGGCTTTCAGGTCAATCTATTTCTTGCCCCTACTTTTCCCTCTTACCCACCAGGTGGCAGGTAATATATTTGCCTTTAAATGCTTACAAAAAACACCACGTGTGAAGCAGCTTCAGCCTTAGGGAAGCTCCTTATGCAGATGAACCAATGGCAAGTCCTTGAGCCCATCCCTCTGGGAGCCACCACACAGGTTAAAATACGTAACAATTCTGTAAGAATAAGGTCCATATGGTTTCCTATGGTGTGTATGACCTGCATCAGGAATGCAGGCTACTATCTTCAAGACTGTTGTGGAGCTGAGGAGTATCAAATAGTATCAACAGGGTAAATTAATATGCCACAGAGCTCTCCAACCAAGATTCTGTAGTTTTTCCCTTCACTAAACATTTCCTTGTCGTTGTAAGTTTTTATTCAATTCTAGAGTTATTTAAAAATTGATTCTGATGGTTTGCCAGTTTATCAACTGCTTCTATGGCTGCTTTCACACTATAATGACAGAATTGAATAGTTGTGACTATATAGTTCATAAAGCCAAAAATATTTACTATTTGGTCTTTAAAGGAAAAAATTTGAACCTCTAGTCTACATATCTATATTCAGAATTTACATAAAAACATTTGTTTCATGAATGTATTAATGACTAAATTGGTGGATGAATGGATGAATGAATACATCCAAAATATTTATATTTTAACACGAGGTATTCCAATATAGATATCTACATGCATCTTGTTAAACTTCAAATAAAAATTTAGAAAATCATGGTAATTTATTGATCATCTTTGGAGTTGCTCTTTTCACTTAGAGGTTACTATGGAAATACAGGAGTGGCGGTAGTCAATTATCAATAAACATGCCAATCAAACACATATATTACTACTGGGGATCATTCTCATGGTGTTTATAAGCTGTCCCCCATCCCTTGATCAAATCATACTGTATGTGTGCTAAATCTACCCAAGAGTGTTGCTTATTAGAGTAATGAGTTGATAACATTTTTGTGAGAGAAAAATTTATCTTTGCTGAAAATCTTCCTTTATTCTGCTTGTATTTCTTTGTAAGCATTAGTTATATTTCTTGGGTGTTTTTCATCATTTGAGAAGAATACCTTTTACCCATAATAAAAGTAAACCTATCCATGAAAATTTTATCTAATAAAAATTTTTAGTTTAGATGCCTGAAATCAAATAAAAATAATATTAAACAGGGTTGAAAAGAATGTTAAAACAGGTAACTAAAACTTGCTGCCTTATACTATCTAGTAAAGCAGACTTTCCGAATGTTTATCCTCTGTGCTTGGATGAGAGGACTGCAAGTGAAGATTTGGGAAAATTCAAGTAAAGCATGGTCTAGGTAGAAAGGGAAACAAAGAAAAACCCCCAAACCAAAACTAACCCAACGAAAAAGGGCAGAGGGTTATCCTTTGTTCCATCTCCTTAACATTGCTGTCCATAGTAATACCTTTCATCCTTAATCTCCCTTTTAAAAGTGTGACTGTCCCCTCTGCATTATCCTGAGCACCTCTTGAGCCCTTAGGGGGAAATATGTTGAGGTCTGTTTCATTTTATTGTTGTTAAGGTGTAAGTCTGATAGTTATAATGAACCAACTCACCTTCCTGAAAAGCATAATTGTTCCACTATTTCTGTTGCCCATTCATCAGCCTTCTACTTTCAATCAACTTAACATCTGCCTTGATTTCCATACTCTATAAAAACTAGATTGCCCTCTTACTAGTTATGATTTAATGCCTTCAGTAAGAGGGCAGTAATAAGATATAGAGACTGAACACACTGCTCAGAAAATAGAAGGAAATAAATTATTTTCAGGAAAATATGAACTGCTCAGTTTTGTTTCAATTGCCGTAATATTACTTTAATCTTAGATTATTTTTTTGTAACCATTATGTCTTTTTCATTTGGCCCATAGGGATGCTATTTAAAAAAAGGAGGGTTTTTTTTTTTTTTTTTTTTTTTTTTGGTCAACCCTATGTTCATTAAGGAAAAAAAAAGGCACCATTAGGTAATATTTTCTAAATGCATTGATATCTTTAAGAAACTGGAATTTCAGCTGTTGCCACAAATAAACTTTACAAGTTTTTTAGTCATAAGGATAAATTCAAGAACAAGACTGGGGTTACCTGAATATACCTGTCTATTTTTCAAAATAAATGATTTGTGGGCTACAGCATCCTGTGTTCTGAGATTCACCACAATGCTCTAAAACAAGACACATGTCCCTGTTTCTCAAAAACGTAGCCTGTGAGAACATTCTGCATTCCACTTCTGATAACTAATGAAGCAAAGTAGACGTGTAAATAAATACAGGATAATATATAATTGGTAGGGATTTCAAATTCACCACTAGATTGGGAGTTTCATAAGGGCAGGAATTTTTCTATGTTGTTTTGATTTGTTTTTCATTGTTCAGTGTTGTATACCTAGCACCTGGAAGAGTGTTGGGACAGAGTAAGAGTTCAGTGTATGCTTGGGTAAATACATTGGTTTATTTATTCTTATCATTGTAATAGCAGGGGATATTTTATACATATCACATTAAAATTAATTTACATTTTAATGTCCCTATGTTTTAAGTAGCATGAGTAAGACACTGATATCTCAGGGTTAACATATGAAAAAGATAATTGAGCCCTAGATAAGAGCTGAGAGATACATGAGTTATATGCTTTAAACATTATTAAAAGTTTTATTATATTT
This sequence comes from Homo sapiens, assembly GCF_000001405.40. Taxonomy (NCBI): domain Eukaryota; kingdom Metazoa; phylum Chordata; class Mammalia; order Primates; family Hominidae; genus Homo; species Homo sapiens. The sequence goes on from NC_000006.12 coordinate 101,850,578, forward strand.
AAATAAAACATTTTTATACCCTCAACCTTAAAATGTATTTTACTTTTTCAGAACTTCATTTTGGATTCATTCTGTGCCAACTCCCAGTCTAATGCAGATAAAAATATATGAGTTATTGGGTTCCTTAAAACTGGGGTTGATAGTAGAAATGCTGACAAATCCTTATTACAGATGCCAGTGGAATGAAGTGCCTTTACCTCTAGCAAATGCTGATGTGGAGATTTAAGACTATATGAGAAATCAGTTAAGTTGCCCAGGAGAGTTTTATCATATTATTCAATGAACTTGGTATGTGATGCAGTAATTGCTTTTGGTACCATTTTTCTTCTCTTACGTGAGGTTATTATTTATCCTTGTACCGTGTGAAACAGAGAAAGAGAGCTTAAAGGAGAGTCATAACTTGATGTAAAACTATCCCATGACACAGTGTAGCTGGAGATAGGAATCAAAGCAAGAAAACTGCATCTTACTTATCAGAATTAAATATGGGAAGAGTAATATTTGACATTGTGGAGATCCATAAATACTAAAAAGATGCACTCAGACCACAAATATTTTTTTCTAGTGATGTGCAAACCTGTTGAAGACATATATCTAAGTAGGTTTTTTAATCTCAGAGGGATCAACAAATTTATTTGCCTATGACAGAAGTTTTCTTATTAGCTTTAGGTGAAGGAAATCAAATTAACAGGTAGGAGGCTAGTAGGACAAGTTAGAGTAATAAGATTTAAATAGCCTAATAACTTTTACAATTATATTGCTGTTTTCACTTATTGCACACATATATCCCTCATATGCTTCACAGACTCCTAACACCAACTTTGATTATATTTTATCCAGTGTTCAAGTCAGTTTCTGTGAAAAATAAATAAAAAGTACTTAGGAATATAATTTAATTTAAAATAGAGACAATTATAATTTAACAATGCAAACAGAAGAAAAAGCATTTTTAGATAGTCATATGTTGCTACCTAAATCTGATTAGTTTAATAGATGTTATTTTTATAAATTCTTAAAATACTTTATGTTAAAAAGGTGTGCTTTTATTTAGAAATGAGATGATTTGTCAGGTAGAAAATGAATTTTGTGTATTTTATATTTACTATTTATTTTCTTCCATAAAGTTGTCTTGATGGCATTGTTCAATAATTAATACCATTTTGCATACAATATAGCCCAGTGGCTAATCCCAGTTAACTAAAAAAAAAAAAAGTCATACAACAGGTGTTTAATTATGTAATGAACTATTTACAATTTTATATTCACATGGAGTTTGGAAATGGTCAGTAAGAATTATTTAATCAAGGAAGTATGGGAGGGATGGGTAAGTGGTCCAGCAGTCAGCCTGGCTGAGTTGTATACTGGCTGTTGACTATGGGCAAAAAAAAAAAAAAAAAATCTTAACACCCTTTCCCTCAGTTTTTTCATAATAGATATAATATTACTGACCTCATGTAGTTGTTATGGAGAATACAATTGAAATAATCCAAGTAAAGCATTTAGAACAGGGTTTGGCACATAGTAAGTGCTTGGGAAATGTTAAACATTACTATTGCTTAGTCATGGGGATTGGCAAATTGTCGATCTTTGTTCCTTTTAAGTAAAACAAAACAAAACAAAACAAACTCTGTATTTGAAAATCATAACCTAAATGAAACAAAAGTATGAAATCAATAGAGCTAATTTACTATACCTACATGCTTTATTTTTTTCCCATTCCACCAACCCTGTATTCTCAGTCTTTCCCCTACTCTGCAAGGGAATATGATATTCTCCTCAAGTCCTTAACCCTCTACACATGGGTTAGTGACTTGAGGATTTGTTACCATCATGCCCGAGCCTCATAGTGGAACTTACCTGTCTCAATTTTTTTCCTTCAAGTTCAGGTTTCCCTGGCTTCCCCGGTTGACCAGAACAATTCGTTTCTATTCAATTCATTTCAGCAGTCATTTTATTGGTAAGCCTGCTATGAGCCAGGGGATGTTTGGTGCTTTTGAAGCAAAATTAAGTAACCATTTTGCCGAGTAAATCGCTCAAGTCTAGTTCAGAAGGCTTACATATAAATCATCACCTACTACTTGGTATGATAAATGCTATGGTAAAAGTATTCAAAAGTTGTTGCAGGAGCACCAGAAAAAGAAACACCTAAATATGTCTGAAAAGTGAATACTCAGTACCAGAAAGCTGTTTCACCACAGGGCTTCTTCCCTTTCTAATATAACAAGGGCATATAAACTATGATCTATGGAAATGTGTTATCTACTTGAAAGACTAGCAGGCCAGGAAGAGTAGTGAGGCAAAAGGGTATGATAACCTCTTGGGTGGAAGGGCACTACATCTGTTACATTTGCAGTACTTTGTGTACCCCTGGGGAATAAAGTTTATATGTGATCAAATGTTACATAAAAATCAGACAAGATCCTAACTGTTCTTTTACTTATGTTAAGCTCAAATATGTAGCTTTGGATGTAGTTAACAGATTAATTTCTGATTCCCATCTGATTCAATTTAAAAATCCAACATATACGGTTTTCTCCCAGACGATATTACGATGTAGAAAGCAACCTAAAATAGTGGGAAAAGTAGGTATTGTGGAAGTTGAAAAACCTAGGTTCAAACCTCTTATTTTGTTGCCTCTTTTAGTTGTTCTTTACCTCTTCTTAGCTATGTGACCTGGGAAAATTATTTAACCTCTTTGAAAATTTAAATGTCAAATGAAAATAGTCCCAATAAGACTGCATTGAAACATATGAAAAAATGCTTAACATCATATGGCATTAGGGAATTACAAATTAAAACAACAATGAGACATCACCGTATACCCTCAAGAATGGCCAAAATCCAGAACACTGACAACACCAAATGCTAGGAAGAATGTGGAGCAACAAAGCCTCTCATTTCTTATTGGTGGGAATAGAAAACAGGGCTGCCACTTTAGAAGACAGTTTGGCAGTTTCTTTCAAAACTAAGCATACTCTTACCATATGATCTTGCAGTCATCCACCTTGATATTTACCCAAATAAACCAAAAACTTATGTCCACACAAAAACCAGCACATGGATGTTTATAGCAACTTTATTTATAATTGCCCAGACTTGGAAGCCACCAAAATTTTCTCCAGTGGGTGAGTGGACAAATAAACTGTGGTATATTCACACTATGTAATATTATTCAGCAGAAAACAGAAATGAGCTATCAAGCCATGAAAATACATGGAGGAAACTTAAATGCTTATTACCAAGTGAAAGAAAACAATCTGAAAAGGCCACATTCCAACTATGTGACATTCTGGAAAAGGCGAAACTCTGGAGCTACTAAAAAGATTAACGGTTGCCAGGAGTTAGAGTGGGGAAAGGAATGAATATGTAAAAGCACAGAGAATATTTAGGGCATTGAAACTATTTTGTATTGATACTACAATGGTGGATGCATGCCATTATACATTTGTCAAAACTCATAAAATAGACAACACCAAGAATGTGCCCATAAGGTAAACTATGGACTGGGAGTGGTAATGATGTGCCAGTGAATGTTCGTCTGTTGTGAACATGTACTGATTTGGTGCTGGATGTTGATAGTAGGGTAAACTAGGCCTCTAGGAGGGGTAGGGAGATATGTGAAATGTCTGTACCTTCTGCTCAGTTTTGCTGTGAACCTAAAATTGCTAGAAAAATTAAGTCTATTAATTAATTAATTAATTTGAGACAGTCTTGTTCTGTTGCCTAGGCTGGAGTGCAATGGCACAATCTCGGCTCACTGCAACCTCCACCTCCCAGGTTCAAGAGCTTCTTCTGCCTCAGTGTCCCAAGTAGCTGGGACTACAGGCACCTGCCACCACACCCGGCTAAGTTTTATATTTTTAGTAGAGATGGAGTTTCACCATGTTGGCCAGGCTGGTCTCAAACTTCTGACCTCATGTGATTCACCCACCTCGACCTCCCAAACTGTTGTGATTACAGGTGTAAGCTGTGCCGCCCAGCCTAAGTCTATCACTTAAAAAAAAAGAATCATGAAAAATTATTGGGAAGCTGAAATAATGAAATTATGTTAAGAAGCTGATTTTTGCCAGGATTTTTTTAATTAATTCCCCTAACAACTTTAAATGTATTGTTAAATATATTTAGAAATTAGAAAATTGAGTTATAGAAGTAACTAATTTATCAATAATTTATCCAATCAGTATTTACTGGGCACCTACTATATGCTAGGCATTGTATTAGGCATGGAAGATATTATAATGAGTTCATATAAATGTTATATTTTAGGAGAGTGAGACAAAAACCCAATAGTAAGCCAACAAGTAAAACAATTGAAAATGACTTAAGTACTGTGAGAAAATAAATAATGAGATAGATAATAACAGAGAAGATTCTCTTTAGATAGAACCAAAGGAAAGATTTTATATTTAACTTGAGCCTTAAAGGAAGCAAAAGAGCTCACCATTTGAAGAGCATTATAGACAGATAAAACAACAGGTAAAGGGCTTTGAGATGGAAAATAGCTTTGTATTTTTGAATCTGGGAGAAAACAGGATATCTAGACCTTAAGGAAAAGAAAATAGAGTTGGAGAGAGAAAGGTAAGTTTTAAGCCTTTATGATGAATATTTTATTCATTTAACACATGTGCCTTGAGCACCAACGGCTTGCCAGTCATTTTCTTCTATGCACTGAGATAAATTAATGAACATAATCTCTAATTCCTCTATACTCATGGGTTTATGTCATAATAGGGGAAGAAAGAATTGCACATACATCAAAAGATAAATAAACAAAACTTCAGATGGGATGAGTGCTATGAGCAAAACAAAGCAGGGTAGAATAATGGAGAGTACCTTAGAGGAAAGAGGTAACATATATATGCGGTTTCTTTGAAGTGGTGAATCTTGAGCATAGGGTTAAATGACGAGAAAACAACCATGTGAAGATCTTAAGATAGATCTTCCCTGTCAGAAAAATCAATCAATCAATCAATCAATAAAAAGGCAGTGCAAAGAGCCAAGACGTGGAGTTAGAAACAAATCTGGCAAGTTTGAAGACCAAAATGAAGGCCAATGCCTGGAATAAAATGAGAAAGAGAGGGAATAGAAGCTAAGTTCAAAGAGAATAGGCCTTGAAGACCAGCATAAACAGTTTTTATTTTATTCCAGTTTTAATGAAAAGCCACTGTTGGGTTTTAAGCAAATGCACAATAAAAGCAGATTTAGTTTTTACAAGATTGCTACGACTTTCTGGGGAGAATGGACTGAGGGGGGGCAGAAATGGAAAGTAAAAGATGTAGTTACAATAGGAATTCAGATAAGAAATAAAGGCTACATGAGCCATGATTCTAGCAGGGGACAGTGTAAAGAAATTAGTAGAATCAGTATATATTTTGAGGGGAGAATTTGCAGGATTTACAAAGGATAAAACAGAATTTGAGAATGATTGCCTGGCTTTGGACTTAATCAGTTTTGTGAGTTGTGAAGCCTTTCACCAAGATGAGAGCAAGTGGTAGAACAACAGGTTTTAGGGCCCATGGCAATGATGTTGAATGTTATTCTAAACACATTGGGAATCTATGTGATGATTTCAAGTAGTAGTGGGGAGGTAATTCAATGTATCCTTCAGTAAGATCCCTTGTGTTTCTCTGTATCAAATGAGCTAAAAGAAAGGGAAGCAAAGATGATGACTCACAAATCAGTTTGAGTAGCAGAGTAAACGATGGTGCCATTTTCTAAAAGCAGAGAAAACTGAAAACATGTAAAAGTTTTGGGGAAAACAAGAATTATATTTGGGACATGTTAAATGTGAGCTGTAATATAATGTCTATGAGACATAAAATCATGCTGACAAGTGCTATTGGATACGTGTGCCTAAGACTTGCAAGAAGTGTGGGCCTAATATATAAATTTTGAGGTCATCAGGATAAAGATGTTATTGAATTTGATGTGTGTGGATCAGAAAAAAGTAGGAATAAAATTTAAGAAAAAAGGTTAGAGCTCATAACTAATTTTAGGAACATAAACATTTAACTGAGGAATTATAATAATGGACCATGGAATTTGGGGCCAGATAATGAAGTGAAGTCAGGAGAGGATTGAGAAATAGTAGGGAAACGTGAGTTCACTGAATTGGGGGTCTTTATGTGATCGAAGAGCACAGGCGTGGGTGTGATTAAACAATGAGTTGGATGAGTGGGTTGTTAGAAATCCTAACTAATTTTCTGACAAATGCAGGCTGCAGTTTTGACCATGCGGAAGAGAGACTAGACTTCAATGAGGGAAATAATTTGGTAATGAGTAAATAAAAGAATTAAGAGATCAGCTGTATTGGATACTTCATGTAGGTGGATTTTGAATATACCGAGAATAATAAGAATTTGAAAAAAGAGCAAAATTACCATCCAGTAGTCAAATATTTGAAAAGTAAAGGCTTCTCTTCCTACTTAATAAAACTTTTGAACCAGATTTCATTGAATGACAGCAATTGTAGAGAGAGAGAGCCTGGTCTAGCAGGGTGGAATGAGTCTCAGAGGAGCAGTAGTTACTGCACAAGGCAGGGGAAAAAATGGTGTGGGGACAGCAATGAGGGGCAGGGAAAACACCAAATGTGCCTCTGTCTCCAAGGGATGTGGAGGTAAATGAAAATAGTCTGTAGGAAAGAGAGCTGAAGGCTAAGCAATGTCATCAGGGTACAGTCCAGCAGAGCAGGGAGATAAAATGGTCATTCTAAAAATCAGGTGAAGATACGAAACAACGTGCCAATCTCTGACCAGGACTTCTCTAACACACAGTGGCAGTGTTTAGAAAGGGTCAGAATAACAGGAGGTGAGGCTGCAGGGTGCATACAACTGTATAGAGATAAGGTAAGTCCACAGAGATGGGAAGGAAGATGAAAATAATCTTGATTATTTCTTAGTTGAGTGTGGGCAAGCTGACACATGGCTGTCATGTCTAAAACTCCTTTAGGATAGCTCTCATGGGATGACTGTTGTTCTCCAGGGGTTGGGGAAGAGGGTGAGCACATTCCTAGGTGGACTGGCATGGGAGTATCCTAACTTTTCTCACTCTGTAATAGCTTCCTCTAAGATAACAGGGGCTTTGCCCATAAGCAAATAGTGAATAGCAGAACCAATTGTTGCACCTTGGTTTATTCATAGCAGCACAGTCTGCCATACCATGTGCAAGTGCCTTCGATAAAATGTGCTAATGCATGGAATCTTTTTGCACTTAGTTAAACATACAAATTTCTCATAGGGCCTAATTTGCAGAGCCTCACAAAAATTGGCTCCTCACCCCTTTTTTATTCAGATCTTGTTCAACCAACTCACTCACTTACTGGATGTGACTTCTGTCACACTGTTGCCAATTATCCTCTTCCTGAAACACTCCAATATTATGTTGGTCTCAGGGCTTTTTACCATGCTGTGTCCTTGGCTTGAAATACTCTGTTTTCAGAGTTTCAAGTGTCTAGACTCTTTCTCATCTGTTGGATTATACTTCGTCTCTTACCTTCTCTGAAAAGACTTTCAGGAAATTACTTAATTTTGTCTTCTCTTATCTTACCGAGTACCTTGCAGTTGTTTTCTTTTCTATTGACCTATTTTATGTTTTTATACCACTTAGGAGGATCTGATAATATGTGTTGTATTTGTTTAGGCATTTGTTAACTGTTTTCTTCTCTTTATCATGAACTTCATGGCTCAAGGATTTCTATTTATATAGAGGAGGGCTGGCTCACAATAGGTGCTCCATAAAATTATGTTGGATGAATGCATAAGCACTTGATAAAGATCACTTTCTTCCTCTCTCTCTCTCTATTTTTTTTTCTTTTTTTTTTTTTTTTTTTGAGACGGAGTCTCACTCTGTCACCCAGACTTGAGTGCAGTGAGCAATCTTGGCTCAGTGCAAGCTCCGCCTCCCGGGTTCACGCCATTCTCCTGCCTCAGCCTCCTGAATAGCTGGGACTACAGGCGCCCGCCACTACGCCCAGCTAATTTTTTTTGTATTTTTTAGTAGAGATGGGGTTTCACCGTGTTAGCCAGGATGGTCTTGATCTCCTGACCTCGTGATCTGCCCGCCTTGGCCTCCCAAAGTGCTGGGATTACAGGTGCAAGCCATGGTGCCTGGCCTTCTTCATCTATATTTTAAAGTAAACTACTACTTTTTAAACTATAATTAAATATAGTAGTTGTAATTTTCATGGTTGTTGGGACAAAATGTGATTATATATATAAAAAGTCCACACTCCAGTTCTTTGCACATAGTAGGCAATTAGTCAGCAATTTTTTTCATTAATTTTATCCATAGATCCCATGGAAACAGCATACCAGATATTGATTAAATGATATAATTCAAATTGAGGTATTATAATCATGGTGAAATTAGATGTCGGATATGATGTATTATATAGCATATATTACATATCACATATTATTGGTTATATATAATAAGATTTATGGCATAAGATATAAGATATACCATATTTTTGTTATATAGTCATGGTGGGATTACAATAGTTAAGTTTTTTTTGTAAAGCACTACTATTTCATATAAAACCTGAATTTTCTTTTAATATTCTAGACTTCATTAATTATAATTAGAAGAAAATAAAGTTGACTGTTGTCCTAAATTAATGAGAAAATTTCTGTCTTCTAAGAAAAGCAATAATTCTGATGATGAGTTTCATGATTAACTGTTACCTCTTTTCTTCTTTTTCAATGTTTTCAGGAAGAGCCTTATGTCCTTTTTAAGAAGTCTGACAAACCTCTCTATGGTAATGATCGATTTGAAGGCTATTGCATTGATCTCCTCAGAGAGTTATCTACAATCCTTGGCTTTACATATGAAATTAGACTTGTGGAAGATGGGAAATATGGAGCCCAGGATGATGCCAATGGACAATGGAATGGAATGGTTCGTGAACTAATTGATCATGTAAGTCCCTTCCCTCATGATTTATTAGTTTGTTATGTTGCTACAAGGTTTACTCTTTTGTTGATGTATATGAAATAACTACAAAGAGTAGTGATATATTTCAAGCATGTATTTCCTTCAATAATTTTATTTAAGCTAGATAGTATTTGTCACTAAATGTAAAGAATCTAAGAGGGATATATAGCCCTATATATGTAAACAGATTAAATTTTCCACAGGAACTGAGAGATGGAACATTATCTCTCTTGATTATTACATTTCAAAGAGATACTTCCCAGGTCCTTGAGAAAGGCTTTCCTGGGCCATAAAGTTGGCAAGAGGCTTAATTAGCTTTTAAAGGAGTTATATACATTTTTAAACAGAGAGGGAGAAATGACCTATGAGTTTTTAAAGTAAGTATTCTAAGAAAAAGGGGTGAGGAGGGGTGTTTCTTTCCTTATTTTCAGTTGGAAGAATCAGGCCTTTTTTTAGAATTTAGTATTTAATTAGTATTTAGTATTTTTAATTAGCTCTTGCAATTGCAAGTCTTTGTTATTTTAGAAATAACATGTTTGTCACCTTCTTATTCTCCATCCCTCTTTCTTAAGAGGACCTTAAGCATACAGGGTTTGGTATGATCTTTCAAATTCATTATGATCTAAACAAGATGGTTCTTGGTGGTACAATATGAAGATGCAACTTCAGATAGACATCTTAACTTTTAAAAAGTATAATTTATAAATTTAGAAGAGGAGACTTTGTTTCTTACAAAGGGTTGCAGCATGCACGGTGGCCATTCAGACAGGTTGGGAAGCATAGTCTCTGGTTGGAAGCCAAAAGCAGATACTTTGAGGGAGGGGCAAAAGGAACAGGAATTTATGCTAAGCAAGATGGCTGAATATATATATTATATTTTCCCCAATGGGATATAGGAGAAGTCATGAATATTTATGAAAGGAGAAACTTGTGCATGAACATGAACATGCCTCTCCATGGATTCCATGTACAAAAATGGTGGCATTAGCATGGTGTGAGGGTGGAGTTTTCAGCCCTATGGCATCAAAAAGTGAAGCACAGGACATGAAAATCCTTACTAAGCATTCTCTGAAGATGGCTATAGCCATTCAATGGTCGTGGTCTAACAGGCAAAATAAGGAAAGGCAGCATCAAGGTTGGTTGATATCACTGGTGAAGTCTTTCGAAAGGGCTGTTTTCTGTTTTCAGTGGTGAAGTCTTCTGAAAGGGCTGTCTTCTTTAGGGAAAAAAGTCTAAAGGCAGTTAGTGAGAGGTTGGTGTATAATGAGGCCTCCTGTCATGGCTGAGAATACAGTTTTCAAGGTTACTATGGGGTTCCCTGGGCAGGGAAAAGGTCCATTCAGTTGTTTTAGGGGCTTTGGATTTATTTTTATTTCTCAGATATTAGGAGAAAGTGAATTTCTGAGGCATTAGGTATTGTTAGTCCTTGAAAAAAGACCTTTTCCCTGAAAACATCATCCTCTCTTCTCCACTTTCCCATACTCGGTAGGGCTCCATAAAATAGTGTGCTCGTGAGCACTTGGTAAGGCAAAGGTGAGTTCAAATCCTAATTCTTCAACTATGCAGTTGCATGCCTTGAAAACACTGCCTTAAACACTTTGAAACTTAACTTTCTGAAACATAAGATAGAGATAAGTTATATCATTTTAATAATTAGGAATGATATATAGGAATTTTCTAACACAGCGTCTGACATATAGTAGATAATCAATAAATAGAGATGTAACTAATAAGCCCAAACTTAGTGTCTTCTTACTTGTTCTGTCTTCTACTATAGTATTTATGAGTGTTTGTGTTGAGGGCTAAAACATAAACATTTAGATGGTATTACAATGAGAAATCTGTAGGGACTATAGCACTATAATTATTAAATTTGAATTTAATCATAGTCAGTGAGATCAGTATTAAGTTTTAGTAGTGAAGTTTATTAACTGGATCCTTTGCTGTCACAAATATACCAGTGCTTTCCTACCTAAATGACCTATATGTTGTGAATGGCAGTTTTATATTAAGATTAATTAAACATAGAGAAGCATTAGTAGAGAGTCAAATTCACTGTTCGATCAACAATAGGCAAGATAAAGAAAAACAAAACAAATAATATTTAGGGTACAACAAAGCAGGGACACCCTTATTTTTTTGAAAATTACTCTTAATATTAAAACAAACTCAAAATAGTCATTATAGATAAAATCAAAACATTTTTGGACCTTCTTATACTTAGAGTTTGATATTTCGCAAATTTGAATTACACATACAGGGGACAAAGCTCTTGACCCCTAAAGTTTTGATGAAAATCACTGATAATGAGGCTGATTAATTAATAAGAGAAAATACATACAAATTTATTTAACTTGTATATACAGGACCCTTCAGAATGAAAACTCAACTTCCCAAAGAAGTACAGAAGCTTATATTACTATCTTGAGGTTACAACGAGAATGGGGGCTTGGATCCTGGTAAAATAGTTTATGAGAAGGCAAAGAGAATAAATTTTATGGAGGGGCAATAAATGATTACAACGGAACAGAAATTAAGTTGTAAACAGTTTCCTTTTTTTAGAACTTAAATGATGCTTGAAGACAATGATTATCTTGCAAAAGGGTCTGTTCAGATGTGGTTAGATTTTTTGTTTTCTTTCCTGTAATGGATAATGAGATTACAGGGAGGGAAACAAGAACACTTGTTCTCCTAGGCAGGTAAATTCTGACTTTTTGTAGATAGGAAAAAAAGTCTCTCCTAGTGATCATCGATTCCCAAGAATTTTTAACTTAAAATACTCATTATACCAGGAAGCCATATTTTGGGGTGAAATATTTTGATTTCCTTCACATGTAAGACTGAAAGTGAAGAGATTCATTTTCTTTCTTAAATCTTTGAGGATCTTACTCCAGCATTTCTCAAATACATTTTATTCTCCTTATATTTATATATTTTTAAGAGACGGAATCTTTCTGTGACTTAGACTAGGGTTCAGTGGCATAATCATAGTTCATTGCAGCCTTGAAGCCCTTGGCTCAAGCAGTCCTTCTGCCTCAGCCTTGTGGGTAGACATGCTAACATCCCTAGCTAATTATTTATTATTATTATTATTATTTTAGATATGTGGTCTTGCTATGTTGCTCATGCTAGTCTCAAACTTTTGGACTCCAGGGATCCTCCTGCCTTAGCCTCTGGAGTAACTGGGATTATCGACATGAGCCACTGTGCCTGGCTTCAAATACACTTGAAAAAATAAATTTTGTGGAAACTCATAGTTTGATACATTTTAAAATGTTAATAATATATGTCCTACTACAGAAAAAATATGGAAGCAAACAATCTATTTTGTTTTTCCTTTATGTACTAATAATCTACTCTTTCAGTCCTAGCAGATTTTCCATTGGGCTGATCATCTTTTGAGTTTTTATGATGATTGGTGATTGATGACTTGAAATTTTTTGGTTAGCTATAAAAAGTTGATAACTTTTGAAAGTTATCAAACTGATTTGAATCTAAATTAGGATGCTATTTTATCATATCAGTTTGCTGCATTCATAATCTTCTGTAGGGGCAGGTTGAAAATAAATCTCAGATCTGTCCCATCTTTAGTTTTTCACCGCCCATGTAGCTCATACGTTTGCCATTTTATTATGTCTCTATTATATACTTCCTGCCTTTAATATCATCTCCAGGAATGCATATATACATTTTAGTCAGATTTTCATTTAATCAGCAATGTTATCTCAAAGCTTTCTCACTGAAATCATTGCAGAGATACTGAAAGATTACAGTATATAATTTCAAGTACTCATGTTGGCCTTTAATTTCTTTTTCATAGTCCCCTGACACCTGATGGTTTGCACAGTCCTCAGTTCTTTCCTCTTGTCAACTGTTTAATGTCCATCCCCAGAGTTCTCTGCTGGGGCTGTACTCCAAAAAGCTTTTTGTGCCATTTTATTCTTCTGAAAAGCCTACTTTCTTCGACACCTATAAAACTACTACCTCTGGCACTTAATCATAGACATTCCTTATTACTTGAAATTCTTTGTCCTTTCATCTTTCACACAGACTAATCCCAGCTGGAGGCAAAATTTCAGAATATCCTTAAGCCAGTGTTCTGCTGGTGAATCTCTGACCTACTGTCATAATGCTGATAAAATGTGTGAGGGAATACTGAGTACTCACATTCAACAGATCTACAGTTACTTCTTAACTGTGCAAATTTGGGCACCGTGTGTCTAACTTTTCTCTTTCTCTTACTCTCCTGTGTAGCTTTGGGAAAGTTTCTTACTCTGTCTTGAGTGACTTATATCATTTATACAATGGGAATAATGATACTCACTTCATTGAATGAAGATGTGGATTGGCCGGGCGCGGTGGCTCACGCCTGTAATCCCAGCACTTTGGGAGGCCGAGGCGGGTGGATCATGAGGTCAGGAGATCGAGACCATCCTGGCTAACAAGGTGAAACCCCGTCTCTACTAAAAATACAAAAAATTAGCCGGGCGTGGTGGCGGGCGCCTGTAGTCCCAGCTACTCGGGAGGCTGAGGCAGGAGAATGGCGTGAACCCGGGAAGCGGAGCTTGCAGTGAGCCGAGATTGCGCCACTGCAGTCCGCAGTCCGGCCTGGGCGACAGAGCGAGACTCCGTCTCAAAAAAAAAAAAAAAAAAGAAGATGTGGATTAAATGTTAATATCTGAGAATAGAGCAGGACTATAGCCTTCTTTAACTTAGTTAAATACATCAGTGAGACAGCAGAGTTTGGGTATATTTGGAGGAGACACAACAGAAGGAAAAACGTAATGACAGGAAGTAGGAAAAATTTAAATGCTTCAGGACAGTGATGCAGATCCCTCTGTAGATATTAGGCCCCTCATGCTTCAGTGTATGAAAAGCTCCTGGCACTGATGGATAATCTCATGCCTATAAATACAAATTTTTCCTTTTTAAAACCTGAGCCCTAGTCAAAAAACTGCTACTTAACCTGGGTTGCAACTAAAGAAACAGCATACAAACAGTTCTAAGACTGAGCTACTTAATGGGTTTTCAAATCAGATTTGAGAAGTAAACTCTAAGTTGGGACATGAATGCATTGCATAGGCCTTAATGTGCTGAGTGGCAAATAGGAAATACTCAAGAAAAGTAGTTATTATTATTATTACTATTAAAATTATTATTATGGTTAATGTATCCAAAAAGGTGCCAATGTTTTTGAATGTTGCTATATTTTGTCTATTCAACCCCATGAGCTAGTTTACAGGATTACTGTTGAACCATGATTATATTTAAAACAAATAATTGACTAAATGTGTGCTATAATGTTATCAGAGAAAAGGGGCATTTAAAAACAGATTTTTAAAGCCACATTATCCATTCCTTTACCCCATTAGAATTGTGTGGACTATGAGAAGTTATCTAAATAGTAACATTTAAAGTTTAGCTCTTTTATAAGTGCCAAACATCTTTACAACTTCTTTGTCTTTAAAGAGATTTGTGTTTTAATATAATTAACCATTTGATGTAGGTAAAAGAGTGCATCGGGCAATAAATGCTTACTTTTTAAATTATGTTCATTTTTGTAGCTTCAATTGTGAAATTTGAGAAGTAAACAAAACTTGATCATTTGACAGGTTTTCTTAAAAAACCGGAATGAGAAAGAAATTCTGTTTCAGCTTAGAAAACAACTATAGTAAAATGGGAAGTCTGTTGGAATCTAATTCAGTATTTTACATTATTTTTAAGAAGACTCACGATGCCACAGATTTCCAGCTGTCTGAATGCTTCCCAGCTTGCTGCCTTGGCATTGCAATTGGTATTTAATATTATCAAGCCTTTTATGATTCATAAATGAGCCTTGGAGGACCTCACTACACTTTGCTTTTGCCTCCTGATTGCTCTTTTATTATATGTTGGAAAGGAAATCAAATATTTGTTTTTCAGGGAACTTAAAAAGGCTCCAGGTATTATCACAAAAATGGAAACACTAAATCAAAAGCAGTTTATTCTAAATGGGAATTGACTTGCACAGCCATAGCTTTAAATTTTGACAGCACATTGTTTAATTTTGCATCCTAGTTGAGGAACTCTAGTACTTCTTGTGAAAATAAACAAAAAGGCTAGGCGTCGTGACTCACACCTGTAATCCCAGCACTTTGGGTGGCCAAGGTGGGCAGATCACCTGAGGTTAGGAGTTCAAGACCAGCCTGGCCAACATGGTGAAAACCCGTCTCTACTAAAAATACAAAAAAGTTAGCTGGGTGTGCTGGTGCACTCCCGTAATCCCAGCTACTTGGGAGGCTGAGGCACAAGAATCACTTGAACTTGGGAGGCAGAGGTTGCAGTGAGCTGAGATCACGCCACTAAACTCCAGCCTGGGCAACACAGTGAGACCCCGTCTCAAAAAAAAAGAAAAAAAAAAAAGAAAGAAATACAAATAATAAAAAAAAATTACAACCAACAACAACAAATAAAAACTGTTGGGGAGTAGAAACACTATTATTATTGTATTTTTAAAATGTTGGCAAAAACAACTAAAATCACAAGTATAAATTTATAATTTCCTATGACCCCAAAGTGACAACTATTAACATATTTGTTAACTTTGCTTCAAGTGTCTCTTTTAATGTAAAAGTTATAAAATATTACAGATAATGTTGAAGTGCCTTCCTCACCATAATTGTCTTGATTTAGTATTTTCCACATCAGTCATAAAATATAAAACTACATTTTCCTCATCCCTCTCCAGGTGTAACCAAAATTGTTCAATAGTACCATGTAACAGGATTATATCATTTTTATTTAGTCTTCTACTGATAAACATTCAAAATGCTATAATTGAAGATGCACATCTTATCTTCCATAGCACCTATGCAAAAGCTTTTCCATAATATATGCTTATTTCACATTGCATGCCTGTAGTAAAACATCTCATGTACCCCATAAATATGTGAAATATATGAACAAGGAATTGTTTATCATAGTTCATGTATTTTCTTTCCAATTTTGTTAGCAACCTCATCCGAAAAACAAATTTCATTAGATATTAAAAAGATTTTTCTCCAAAAAATTTTTACTAATTTACATTTCTACCAATAGTTTATAAGAATTTCTATTCCTCTGCAAAATCATTAGTACTTGAGATTAGACATTTAGACTAGACTATTAGAGTACATTAGACTATTTGAATTTGGTCAAATAGTCTGGGGACAAATAGAATCAAATTGCTTTAATTTTCAGATACTCATAACTAGCCATTCTTTTTCTCCATATTTATAGGCTTTTTAATTTCCCCTTCTTTGAATTCCCCATTTACTTCATTCCTTCTTATTAACATATAGTAATTTATTATATTTTCTGAATGCCTATAATGCAAATATTTTCCCCAGCTAAGACTTTATCTCTTAATTTCATTGTGTGTGTGTGTGTGTGAATGTGTGTGTGTGTGTTTTCATATAGAAGTTTTAAAGTTTTAGTTTGTCACATTTAGTCATTTTTTAAATGGCTTGTGATGTTTGTGATTTGTTGGAAAAATTCTTTTTTAACTGAAGCTCAAAAAGATATTTTCCTATTTTTTAATATTCTTAATGTTTTTGTTTCTCAGATTTAGTTCTTTCATCCACTTGTGGTTTGTTTATTAAGTCCATACTGATTGGACCTCAACTTAAGTGAAAGCCTGAATTCCTTTTACGCCCTTTCTGAAGCAGTACCTCCCCCCAACACACCAAATTCTGCTACAACATGTATGCCAGTAATTTTCTCTTCTTTGTAAAAAAGCAACTTGAAAAGCAAGTAATTTTTACTTTTAAGGAGACATTCTGTGATTATAATCTCAGACGATAGAGACATTAGGAATTATGAAAAGTATATAACATTTTTTAAAAGGGCTAATATATTTTTAAACTTTTTTTCTCAACGTGAATTTAAACAGTGAGCTGTTGAAGATATAAACAAACTGGTTTCAGTGACAAGGATATTTTGAAATTTAATCCAGAAACATGGTCTATCACAGATCAGTGTAATTCTGATTTATGCTATACTAGATTATGATTCATTAGAAATTATCCCAGGATAGAGCCTCAACAACCATTTATTGAATATATATTCTGAGAAACACACAGTAACCACAGCAGTAATAATAGTTCTCAAATATAAATGACTATATTTTATTAAAAAAGGTATGTTAAGTGTTTAATTTTTCTTTCAGTACTAATATAATAAAGAATGTCTTCTCATGCAGTTCCAAAATTAATATTATGTTTAGAAATATTTATATATATTTTTAAATTTAAATTTTTTTTTGCTGTGATGTATTCTGAGAATACTTAAAAGAAATTGTTTCCCTAATAACAATCTTCTGCTAATTTGCTATTAATTGCAAAATTATAGCAAAAACCAGAGCTAAGGATTATTTTATTTGGCAATTGTATCATGAATTATTGAATAAATACCCCCAATGTACACTATTAAGTTCCTTTAAATATGACTTCTGAACTTAAGCTACTTAAAATGTCTGTAAAAAATGTTTTGGTCATAATTTGAAGATTGAGAGAAAGTAAAATACTAAATTGACATTATAGAGACCTCTATAAATGGAGACTTCTGGACACTCCTATCCATCCTATTAATAATTTTGCCCCTACAAACTGGAAGCAACTAATTTGTTATGCAGTACAGAGCATTGAAACTTTTCCTTACTGTAGTCAGGAAATGCTTCTTAAAAAAAAAAAAAGCTTCAATGTCTTCTTAAATAAAGAAAAACAGTTTGGAGTAGAAGAGGCGTGAAATTGGGAATTTCATCGCTCAAACAAAATGTATGTAAAAATGAAAATAGAAATATAAATTAAGGGCAAGGGAATTCTGTGAGGAAGCATGTCCAAAATCTAGTATTATTTAAAGTCAGTAATAAAAATTTTGTATGTAATTTAAATAGTAAATTTACAATGACACTATTGAAGCAGTGGGCCGAAAAATTTGTTTATCTGTGGTATATGGAACATCTGTGTGTTATTAAATAATAAATACTGATTTGCATCTATTACTACCATAACAGCAGAATAAATGTAACTGAAAACAGATATAAAAAAGTGGCTTTTTTAAAGGTGATATTTTCTTTAGAGCATAGAGCAAATCTAAACAGAAAGACAAAAAAGCCCCACAAAACTTTAAAAAATTAAAAAAAGGAAAATCATAGCATGAAATGTATTAATGCTATAGAAATTTGTTCAGTGTGACTGGATTTTCCTTTCACATTAAATTGCATAAAGTTTCTTTTCAAAGTAAATTTGAGTAATAGAAATTTCAGAAAAAAATTGCTCAAATAAGATATTCTTCATGATATTCCCATGTGGAAAAAAATTCAGTATTATTCATTAAGCATTTTTGTGCCATTCACATTTTTAGGTACTGAGAAACATACAAACCCTGGGTGAGATGAACATTAAATACATTTTATATACTTTAGATAGTACAACAATAGAGATATTCTGAAAATATTTTGGGAAACATGAGGGAGTATATCTAATTTTGTCAAGGGAAAGGGTCAGGGAAGTCTTTAAGCTTGAATTATGAAAAAAATGACAGATGCTTTTTCAAATACACTATTTTTAGTGCTGCAGTTCATTTAATTGAAGCACGTATTCTACCTGAGGGATGTTATCTTATGTAACACCACACGTGACCAAAACGGTGTACTTGGTCAGGTTTATTTAAATATTTTGAAAGCCAATTCAATTTAAAATGAACTGATATGATTCAGACAATTTGCGGAGGGAGAATTAACATAAAGAAAGTTTTCACATCTTTTCTCCTAAGAAGAAAATAGATCTAGTTTTCTCAATTAAGAAGAATTTATTGAAAATGTATTGGTATGCTAATATGTAATTACACTAACATTAACCACTGTTGTTTTGTGCCAAAATCATGTGCCTTCATCCATATAATTTCCTGATCACATCTAATTGCATTTTAAGGTTTTGTGGCTCTTCTAGGAAATTCAGTTTGCAAAAGATATGGCCACTGAACTGGAGTTTATTTTTTACGTATTTTATTATGATAGTCATCTGATCAAGTCTTTTGTATTTTTTAAACATTATCCAATTTGGATCATTGAAAATCAGAAGTAATGTCTGTGGGACCATTATAGAGCAAATAGTCTCACTGTCCAGTGTGCACAAAACACTGGCTTTTGAGGAAAAAAGGGCTTTATTTGCCTTTTTTCGAATAGGCAAGTAGTCAGCAAGGAGACAGGAGTGGATTCAAATCTGTCTCCTCAAGTTAGGGACCCCTTGCTTCTGAAAGAGTTTTAGTATTCAGGTTCCAGTCATGTCCCAGTTTTACCGGTATAGAGGGGAATATTGATTGGTTTTGGGTGTTGTTAGAGATCAAAGCTTTTTCTATTGTGCATGCCTAGGCTACATGAACTGCAGATTTTGGTTTTATTATATCTGAAAGGTAACTCAACATTTTGTTACCAACTAAGCAGGCCCAATTTGGGCTAGTCCAGTAGGTACAGGACTTATTCAACTAAAAATTCAATTATGAATTTATGTGACAGTATTTAGTTTAATATTAAACAGCATTAAACTATCCTTTATGTCCTTATATTTTCACTTCCATGAAAATGAATGATTTTGATACCTTGTAATCTACTAAACTATCTTTGTTCACTGTAGATTAATTTGCTTTTACCAACATTTAGATTTAAAATATTCTCATTTTACTTTGTGGCTTTCAATACATACATCATTAAGGTCCTTTCCTAGTTAGAATATAAGCTGTGGGAGGGCAGTAACTATATCTCTAGGACTTAGCATGATGCTTAATACACAGTAGAAAATGAGTGTTTGTTGAATGCATAAATCCTGTTTTTCCATCCAGGCCAGTTTGTCCAATTCAATGTATAAAACTACTTATAATCAGGAATATGCCACAAATGGATTTTCCCAAGCATTATATTTTATTGATGTACATGTTTTGTTTCCTCTGTGTAGGTGTCAATGTCTTGTTTGAGGCAGGAATGATTTGATTTTCTTGGTATCTTTCATAGCACTTGCCACAATGCTTTACACGTAGTCAAGATGGTCAATAAATATCTACCAAATAAATGGGTAGATATAAATTATCCACCTACCCTTTTTTTCTTTCCACACTAAAGGAGTGCAATTAACTTTACATTGTACGTGTGATTACTTGAAACCATAGCTATAATATTATCACACTTTCCTTCAGAAAAAAAAATTGGGTAAAGTTGGTAAACTTATTAACAGAGTTTTGAAGTAGAGCACTATGTCATAGCTATCGAATAATAGATAAAGGCATTCTGAAACACATAATATTTAAAACATAGACTCATAAAAAGTCATTTTCAAGTATTTCTTAAGCAGATACTGTCAGATATATTGGACGATGAGATAATTTGAGAGCACGTGTTCTGAAAAACAGGGTAAGACACTTGGACAAAGAAGTTTTATCTTTAAATCCTGCAAAATAAACATACACAAAAATCAGAATTTTTACCAATTATATTGGCGTACTTCAAATGAGATTTGATTACCTATATACACTATCAAAA
The DNA here is from genome assembly GCF_000001405.40 of Homo sapiens. Classification (NCBI taxonomy): domain Eukaryota; kingdom Metazoa; phylum Chordata; class Mammalia; order Primates; family Hominidae; genus Homo; species Homo sapiens. Next base: position 101,871,060 of record NC_000006.12, read on the forward strand.
ATAGCATTTTTGTCAGGCAGGAGCAGAAAGGAAATATAGTACATGCTGTAATAAAAGTATAATCAATATAAAAGTAAAGATTTTAGCATCAGCATGTGAAGAAAAAGTCATCCTGGGCAACACATGGTTTATCTTTTAAACATCTTAATAAAATCTTTTTGGATGGATCATTTCTAGAATGTATTACATGTATTTACTCTTTGAAAGGACAGTGAGAATAAACCAAACTCTAGATGAAAATTTCATGTCTGTTTTGATGCTTTCATAATCATTCTATTTATATATTTATTTTTTTAAAAGTATTTCATGAAGTGTCTTCTTTTTCTAACTTTTATTTTAAATTCAGGGGTTACATGTGCAGATTTATTAGATGGCTATGTTGTGTGATGCTGAAGTTTGGAGTGTGCATGATCCCATAACCCCGATAGTGAGCATCACACACAGTAGGTAGTTTTTCAACATTTGCCCCCTTTGCCCCAACTCTAGTAATCCCCAGTGTCTATTGTACTCATCTTTATTTCCATGTGTACCCAATGTTTAGCTCCCATTATAAGTGAGAACATCTAATATTTGGTTTTCTTTTTTGGCCATTAGTTCGCTTAGGATAATGGCCTCCATCTACACACTTGTTGCCACAAAAGGCATGATTTTGTCCTTTTTTATGGCTACGTAGAGTTCCATAGTGTAAATGTACCACATTTTCTTTATCCAATCCATTGTTGATGAGCACCTGGGTTGATTCCTTGTCTTTGCTATTGTGAATAGTTCTGTGATGAACATACAGGTGAATGTATCTCTTTGGTAGAACAATTTATTTTCCTTTGGGTGTAAATCCAAAGGATTTGGTGAGTCAAATGATAGTTCAACTCAGTTCTTTGAGAAATCTCTAAAATGCTCTTCACAGCAGCTGGACTAACTGACATTCCCACCAACAGTTTATAAGTGTTCCTTTTTCTTCACAGCCTTGCCAATATCAGTTATTTTTTGTTGTTGTTGACTTTTTAACAATGGCCACTCTGACTGATGTGAGATGGTATCTCAATGTGGTTTTCATAATAATTGTATACTTCACATTGCAATCACCCAGGAATATAAAATTCGTGTCTATCCAATTTCTTATTCATGGTTTGACCTAGAAATGTGGCCAACATTAACCCAGTAACCATTTACTGTATTAGTCCATTCTCACAGTGCTATAAAGAACTGTTTGAGACTGGGTGATTTATGAAGAAAAGAAGTTTAATCGACTCACAGTTCCACATGGCTGGGGAGGCATCAGGAGACTTACAATCCTAGTGGAGGGGAAGCAAACATGTCCTTCTTCACATGGCAGCAGCAGGGAAAAATGCTGAGTAAAGCAGGGAAAAGTCCCTTATAAAACCATCAGATCATGAGAACTCACTCACTATCATGAGAATAGCATGAGGGTAACCACCCCCATGATTGAATTACCTACCATCTGGTCCCACTCACCGAACATGGGCATTATAGGAACCACAATTCAAGATTAGATTTGGGTGGGGACACAGCCAAACCATATTACCATCAGTTTTATTCTTTCACCTCTTTGTAGGTTCAAATGAGCACTCATCAATAATTCCCCCTTCCCATCCCCTCTGAATAGCATGTACTCACCTCACATTGTATCTCATCTTTTTCATCTTATTCCCTATTATCATTTACTTACTCCATAATTCCTCACATAAATTATGTTTGTTTTCTACACAAATATTAAATAGATTAAGTAATTTTATGTCTGTTTTCAATGAGAATTTAAATCCTTTGAAAGTCAGAATTTTAAATTATAGGTTGATAATAAGCTGATTTATGAGCCGAGCTTTATGAACTGAGAAAAACATTGAACATATTTAAAGCAGGGTTCACTCCTTAGCAGAGCTGCAAATGACAGTGATACCATAGTGAAGATTTCTTGATTCTGGTTCTGAATCTTAGTTATATAGGTCCCCAATGCTTATTATGCATTTATTTAGGAAGTATTGAGGTAGTTAAACACAAGTGATTTTTAAACTGGACATTAATTTTTTTTAAATTATACATTAAGTTCTAGGGTACATGTGCACAACGTGCAGGTTTGTTATACATGTATACATGTGCCACGTTGGTGTGCTGCACCCATTAACTCCTCATTTACATTAGGTATATCTCCTAATGCTATCCCTCCCCCCTCCCCCCACCCCACAATAAGCCCCAGTGTGTGATGTTCCCCTTCCTGTGTCCAAGTGTTCTCATTGTTCAATTCCCACCTATGAGTGAGAACATGTGGTGTTTGGTTTTTTGTCCTTGTAATAGTTTGCTGAGAATGATGGTTTCCAGCTTCATCCATGTCCCTACAAAGGACATGAACTCATCCTTTTTTATGGCTGCATAGTATTCCATGGTGTATATGTGCCACAATTTCTTAATCCAGTCTATCATTGATGGACATTTGAGTTGGTTCCTAGTCTTTGCTATTGTGAATAGTGCCACAATAAACATACATGTGCATGTTTCTTTATAGCAGCATGATTTATAATCCTTTGGGTATATACCCAGTAATGGGATGGCTGGGTCAAATGGTATTTCTAGTTCTAGATCCTTGAGGAATTGCCACACTGTCTTCCACAATGGTTGAACTAGTTTACAGTCCCACCAACAGTGTAAAAGTGTTCCTATTTCTCCACATCCTCTCCAGCACCTGTTGTTTCCTGACTTTTTAATGATCACCATTCTAACTGGTGTGAGATGGTATCTCATTATGGTTTTGATTTGCATTTCTCTGATGGCCAGTGATGATGAGCATCTTTTCATGTGTCTTTTGGCTGCATAAATGTCTTCTTTGGAGAAGTGTCTGTTCATATCCTTTGCCCACTTGTTGATGGGGTTGTTTGTTTTTTTCTTGTCAATTTGTTTGAGTTCATTGTAGATTCTGGATATTAGCCCTTTGTCAGATGAGTAGATTGCAAAAATTTTCTCCCATTCTGAAGGTTGCCTGTTCACTCTGATAGTAGTTTCTTTTGCTGTGCAGAAGCTCTTTAGTTTAATTAGATCCCATTTGTCAATTTTGGCTTCTGTTGCCATTGCTTTTGGTGTTTTAGACATGAAGTCCTTGCCTATGCCTATGTCCTGAATGGTATTGCCTAGGTTTTCTTCTAGAGTTTTTATGGTTTTAGGTCTAACATTTAAGTCTTTAATCCATCGTGAATTAATTTTTGTATAAGGTGTAAGGAAGGGATCCAGTTTCAGCTTTCTACATATGGCTAGCCAGTTTTCCCAGCACCATTTATTAAATAGGGAATCCTTTCCCCATTTCTTGTTTTTGTCAGGTTTGTCAAAGATCAAATGGTTGTTGATGTGTGGTATTATTTGTGCGGGCTGCGTTCTGTTCCATTGGTCTATATCTCTGTTTTGGTACCAGTACCATGCTGTTTTGGTTACTGTAGCCTTGTAATATAGTTTGAAGTCAGGTAGCATGATGCCTCCAGCTTTGTTCTTTTGGCTTAGGATTGTCTTGGCAATGCAGGCTCTTTTTTGGTGCCATATGAATTTTAAAGTAGTTTTTTCCAGTTCTGTGAAGAAAGTCATTGGTAGCTTGATGGGGATGGCATTGAATCTATAAATTACCTTGGGCAGTATGGCCATTTTCACGATATTGATTCTTCCTATCCATGAGCATGGAGTGTTCTTCCATTTGTTTGTCTCCTCTTTTATTTCGTTGGGAAGTGGTTTGTAGTTCTCCTTGAAGAGGTCCTTCACGTTCCTTGTAAGTTGGATTCCTCAGTATTTTATTCTCTTAGAAGCAATTGTGAATGGGAGTTCACTCATGATTTGGCTCTCTGTTTGTCTGTTATTGGTGTATAAGAATGCTTGTGATTTTTGCACATTGATTTTGTATCCTGAGACTTTGCTGAAGTTGCTTAACAGCTTAAGGAAATTTTGGGCTGAGATGATGGGGTTTTCTAGATATACAATCATGTCACTGCAAACAGGGACAATTTGATTTCCTTTTTTCCTAATTGAATACCTTTATTTCTTTCTCCTGCCTGATTGCCCTGGCCAGAACTTCCAACACTATGTTGAATAGGAGTGGTGAGAGAGGGCATCCCTGCCTTGTGTAAACTGGACATTAATTTTTAATCTGAGTGTAACAAGGATGAGTGTTTCCCATTCCTCTTAATCCTTGTTGATAGGTGCAATTAGAAGCCAATTTACAAATCGGTGGACAAGAAACCAAGGACAAAACCTCAATAAGAGATCTCTTGTCCTTTATCTTGGGGGTATTTCTTTTTAAGTACTATCGCTAGTCATTTAGAATCGGAGCATCCTTTCTTAGAGATAATAATCTACACATACTATTTTTTCTTTCATTTTGCTTGGTAGACCATCATATATCTGCTCAGCCAAAACAGAAATGTCTCAAAGATGTTACAGTGCAATTGAGTAGGCTATTTTTTTTTTACAGAAATAACTACTTTTCCTAACTTAAGAAAGTAGTAACACAGTAATTATTTATTTCTGATGAAAATTTCATTTCTGTTTTCTAAATTTGCTTTCTTCTTGTTTTTCTCTTTACTTCTTTTACATTGAATGAGTTTTCTTTTGACTCATTGTTTTTTCCCCTCCATTAATTGGAAGTTATAAGCTTTATTTCTCTTTATTCTTTAGGGGTTTTTATGGAAATTTTAACCAGCAAAGTTAACAAGATATTGATAACCAATATTTTACCCTTCTTCCAAACAATACAAGGACCTTAGGAAGCTTAGACTGATCAACCATTCTGCTGACATCTGCTATTATATTAGTTCTAATCTGATTCTTTCGTGTTTAGATTGAACATATTTTACACACTTGTTTGCTTTACTTGCCATTTATTATTTATTTCTTCTTATAGACAGTCTTCTGTGGAGTCCTGTTTTCTTCTAGAATTACATATATATTGTGTGTTTATGTGTTTGTGTGTGTGTGTGTGTGTGTGTAAAGATCTCTCATCTTGGGATCAACATTACAAATAAAAACTTAATTTGAGTTCACATAAAATCAGAAGCCTGTATTTAGGAAGTCAAAATTTAAGAAGAAAACATGTTTAGGTGAGCCTGTTAATTATGTAAATAGTAAAATTAGTTTGAAACACGAAATTGTCATTTTTGTAGGCTAAAATGAAGTGTTACACATTTCATATAACCTAACCTGTACATTTTTCCTCCTTATAATGTCTTTAAAATGTTTGCAGAAGCTTTTCTTACCTTAGGACCTAAATATACAACATTAAAGATTAATCTAAAAAAGAATCTGGATCCTTTTTTATAAATAATAATTGTGATAGATTCCTTTCTGGTATTTCACAAGTTTTCTTAAGAACCCAGATCTAATTAGAAATGAAAACAAGTCTAAATGATTAAAATATGGTTTCCTTAGAAAACAAAAACAAACACACACACACACACACACACACACACACACACAAAACCTCATCCCTGCAGCACCATTCAGGGCCCACTTATTCTGAAAGTGCCAGAGGCCTGTCACCATTGTTGGAAGCTTAGCAAAGTTCAAAGAGAGCTTATCAATGCACAGTGAGATTTAATGTGCACTACTCATTATCCTGGTGAGACCCTTTGTTAAAATAGTCAATTTCTATGCTGTTTGTAAGGTTGTGCAGTTGTAATTCCTGGATGACTGCCAGAAATAGCCTTAGTAACAAAACACCCAGCATCCTTCTGTTCTCAAATCAATCAGTCATTGTGTAAAGAACTTTTTGATTTATAATGAATCTTGTGGCCAGTATTTTTAGGTTATTTCACTACACTAAGTCAACAGTATGTTACTTCTAGGTATGTTATTATAAATGGACTCATTCCCCTACATCTCTATACATAAGCTTCTTATGTTATGGTTTGTCATAACAGGTGAAGTTGAATTTGTTAATTAAAAGAGTATGTAATATGCATACAAATAATAATACTAGCATTCTGATATGCTTTTGTATTCCCTCTATACAAATTATGGGCCACTTAAGAAACAAATGAGCTTCATAGTTTTCCTAAAGTAATTGGTGCAATGTTACAACTAAACACAGACGAACACACACACACATATATATATGTTTATGTTTATGTTTTTATACTTCACATATATATGTAGAGTATATATGCATATAGATGTTTATGAATACATACAGTTGGCCAGTTGGCCCTCTTTATCCTTGGGTTCCAGATTCAATCAACTAGGGATCGAAAATACCAGGGCTAGGGAAGGATAGTTGTGTCTGTACTGAACATGCAGACTATTTTTTGCTTTTCATTCCCTAAGCAATGCAGTATAACAACTATTTACATAGCATTTACATTGACTTAATTATTATAAGCAATCTAGAGATGATTTAAAGTATACAGGAGGATGTGCATAGGTTATATGCAAATACTATATACTTCATATAAAGGATTTGAGCACCGATGAATTTTGGTATTCGACAGGGGCCCTGAAACCCATTTCCCCTGGATATCAACAGATGACTATACAAATATGACATTTATGTGTGTATATGTACGTTAAAAATAGTTTTAAAAGAATAAAAACATCTGAGTACAAAATAAGTATTTGAATAGACTAAGATTCAGTATTTTGTCAAGGACAACAACTCATGTTTAAATGTCAATATTAACTTTGATAACTTAGCAAGGAACTGATACATCTATGTTTGCTTTTTTTGTTGAGCTCTATTTTTCAATTCATTGTTCCTTAATACATTTTCATTCTATGTGGAGAGATAAACAGTCCATCAAATGTATTTTGTTTTTTAAAAGGCTTTGTAACTGTAACCTGTAGAATGACTTGGGAATCAGCCAAGTTTTCAAATCTCCCTCCACTCTTTATTTGAAGTGTGATCTTAGACAACTTGGTTATGTTCTCTGAGCCTCACTTCTCTCACTTAAAAAAGGGCATTGATGAAAGCACACACTTCATAGTAATGATTAAATGACCTAAAATGTATGAAGTGCTTAGAATCGTGCCAGGTATATTATATTATATTATATTATATTATATTATATTATATTATATTATATTATATTATATTAATGTACTGAATAAATGTTAGCTGTCATTTGTATTTTTTTCTTGATGGAAATAATAGCAAAATTTCTGATATAAATGAAAACATAAACTCAGGCATCTCACTTCCTCAACCATTTACCCAATTTCCCATGGAAATTATCAATAGAGTAAACAAATAAGTAAAAGTTTGCATTCTCAATGGAATCTAGGGATGGAGCCTTCAAAGTGTCAAGTTTTTTTTTCTATTTAGTCTAGTGCATATAAAATTAGAGTGAAGGAAGAATAGAAGGTTGGTAACTGATCCCCTTCATAAAATATCAGTGTGTCTGAGAATTACATGGGAGGCCATGAGAAATTGCCATTTGTATTCCCAGTAGTGTTTTGTTTTAAACATTAAAAGATTCTGTGTTAATCTAAACACAATATACCTCACAAATTTATTACTATTAGATATTTTAAACAATTTTGAGACTCTCTGGTCTGTTTAACTCTCTCTGTATTTTTATTTCCAGAACACATTGAGCTCTGTTGACTTTCTGACTTATCACGCTTTCTCTTACAAGTCATTCGTTATCGTCTCTGAATTCTCAGTGTCCTCCATTATGAGTAATCTCCCTTCATTCCTAATCTTTCTTCATTATTTGCTATCTTGTTTCACTTCTCTTCTATTCAAACTGCTCATTCCGTAGCTCTGCCAGTGCTGGCTGCTCTGTCTCTCACACTCCACTTATTTTAAGAGTCTGGTTCAGATTCTTTTGACTACCTGGATCAAGCAGTATGTACTGATTATTTTACTGTTATAAACTCAAAAATCTTAGTAGTTTATACCTACAGAGATTGTTTCTCATTAACACTGCTTATAAAGCATAGGTCAGCTGAAGGCTCTGTTCCATATTTTCTCACTCAAGGACTCAGGCTGATGGAGCCACTACCACGTGGTGTGCTTTTACTTCTGGGAAGCGAAATGAGAGAACATGGTGAACTGCAGACCGTCTCTCAAAAGTTTCTTTGCAGAAGTGAAAGTACACAACTTCTGCTTACATTCCTTGATCAAGGTAAACCATATTACTGTGCTCAACTTAAAGGTAAGAAAAGAGTACAATATTCCATGTACACAAAGAAAGACAAAGTGGAATGTAGTTAAATAGCCCTAATGCTTAACCTATTTCCCATTGCTGTTTTAATTCATGGTTTCTCTAGAACCCAGAAAAAAATACATGCTTCTTTGAGGCTCATTTCTCTGGATATACCATTCCTTTCATTCTTATGTTATCACCTACTCACTTTCTGATCACAATTACATATGCACCATTTATTTTGGGAATGGACTCATAGCCTTTCACTTTAAGAGAGCCAATTTCATAGTTTTATTTGAATTCAGTGTCCTTACGGAAGACTCATCCATTACCCTGGACTCTATGCTTCTTGGGTTCTTGAACCTCTCAGCCACCTAGTCCTAAAGTCACATCATAGTCATGATCATAACCTAAAGGACAGCGACAATTATATCAATAATCTGAAAATTCAAATCATTTCTGCTTGCTTGTTAATTTGGTTGATCTCACTACATTTTTTTTTTTTTACCCCATCCAACCCCTGAGTTGGGCAACTGGAAGAAGCTGTATTAGCATGAAAATAAGTAGCCCCAGAACTCCAGAAACTGTGTGCCTTTATGGGCTGATACTCCTATTTCGGGGTAGGTAAACTTGGACCACAGAAGTTCACTTTCAAATGGAAAGTGAGGTCTCACGATTTCAAGCAGTGAAACTCAAAAACTCAGCCAGACAGGCATCAGTGACGTTTTGACTTTACAAGAAATTGGAGGAAATTTTGTCCACCAACCCATAGCCTAAAAATAAAACTGCTGACTCAATAGGGCCCTAGATTCATATGGCTTATTTTAAATAACCGACAAGTTGAAACATCATGTTGTCCCTTGGACTACTGTGGCTATCTAGTGTCAGAGCCAACTACACAAAAACTAAACTGAATGTGATCATTCTGGTTAGTGGGCAGAACTCAAGGCTATTCTTATGTCTAGCTATGATCCTTGAGTTGTTTCCAGTGACCTGAATATTTGGTTTGCTCATCAGACTAGCAGATTAAATATACCCTTCTTTGGGGTAACCAAATATAGAAAAACATTGTGGCTGCTAATTGGACAGTTTGGGTCACTAATGAGTTCAGAATCTGTGTTTATTTACTGCTATATTGCTCTTTCTCACTCATAAGTTATCTCAAATATTCCATAAATCTTCTCCTAACCACTCCACTGATCTCTTGCTTATATAATTTATTGTGTTCTTATAGTTTCTCTGGGTATTTCTTGCTTCAAAGAGTTGTGTATAAGCTCTGGGAGGGATCATGTTTAAATATCTTGACATTCTTACTCTGCCAAGTCTATCAGTGGATACTGATTAATAGATTCTGTCATATTATTTCACAGTCGAGAAAATAGAAATTTACTGTATTTTACTATGAGATATATTTATATGAACTCTTTTAACTAGTGAAGGGATGATAATTACCTTCTGAAATTAGGGATATTTAACATTTTTATAATTTTGTCTTAGTTCCAAGTCTTATTTTTATATCTAAACAGAAGAGTAATTTGATTGATTATTACTTCATTTTATTCCTGGAAAAACTGCATGAACATATGAGAATAATAAGAATTGGTAGCATTCAAACATAGTAGCTAACAACATCCCACAACATATTACTTTATATTTGATATCAGAGATTCCATCTGAATTGTTTCAATTAAAATATATTTATAAAAAGAGAGCTTAGTTTTCCTTGTCCTCAAAATATGCAACATATTGTCTTCATTTCAGCAACTAAAAATAAAGCAAAACAATCACTAAACTATTTACTCATTTCATGTCTTAGTAGTTTATTTTCAGAAAAGAGTTGTATTTGTACTGAAGTCACTCTACAAACTTAGGCCAAATAAAACTTTTTATATATGCATCTCAATCTTCAAAGTCTTAAATTTAATAACCATAAAAAATTTTGTGGACTTACTTTATTGTTTATAGTTGTGTTTTATTTGATTAATGTTTTTCAAGTACTTGTTTGATAAATATATAATAACATTACATTTTAAGTAATAGCCTTGTTTTGGTTTTATGTATGTTTAAATATAATAATTATAGAATGTAACACCATATTTTATATATAGGTAATTATCTTTGGCAGAATAACTTTTTTCACTTAAATTGTGATTTCAAAAGATGCTAATTACTTCAGAATCAAGAAATCAGTAATAGCTAAATCAGAAACAGAAAATATTAGAAACATTGTTTAGTGCAGCACTATGCTCATGAACAATAAAAATGACAGACATAGTAATATCTATTATAATAATAGAAATAATACATATTTGGAGTATTGATATGCAAGATCTCAGATTATTTTTAAATAAAAGTTTAGTCTTTTAGGAATTATCACTGTGAAGAAAACAGGAAATTTCTGCGTACTGATATTTTTCTAGGGAACAAAAGTAACTTGTCTAGTGCATTAAATATAAATTCCAGCTAGCCTGTGCAACATTATCAGAACACATCTCTAAAAAAAAAAAAAATAGAAAAATTGGCCAGATGTGGTGGTGCATGGCTGTAGTCTGACCTACCCAAGAGGTTGAGGTGGGAGGATCCCTTGAGCCCAGGATTTTAAGGCTGCAATGAGCTATGATTGAGCCACTGCACCCTACCCTGGGTGACAGAGCAAGACCCTGTCCCTAAAAAATAAATAAATAAGTAAATAAATTTGTCTTAGTCCATTTTCACGCTGTTGATAAAGACATACCTGAGACTGGGTAATTCATAAAGAAAAAGTAGTTTAATGAATTCAGTTCCATGTGGCTGGGGAGGCCTCACAGTCATGGGGGAAGGCAAAAGGCATGTCTCACATGGTGGCAGACAAGAGAGAATGAGAGCCAAGTGAAAGGGGAAACCCCTTATAAAATCTTCAGATCTCATGAGACTTATTCATTACTATGAGAACAGTATGGGGGAAACCACTCCCATGATTCAATTATCTTCCACTGGGTCCCTCCCACAACACCTGTATATTAAGGGAGCTACAATTAAAAAGAGATTTGGGTGGGGACACAGCCAAACCATATCAACATTTATTCCATGGAAATATTATAATAATTCTAGTATAGAGAAATATTAATATTTATGAAGCATACAATTGAGAGTGCACAACAAAATCAGATTTGGGTGGGGAATAAAACAAAACTAAACTAAAACAATTAATATCCTCCCCCAAAACTCTAGAAACATTTTAGACCCATAGTTATTCTGAAGACATCAGTTAAGTTTATTTTTCATTGTCATTAATGGCAAGTTTGATAAGTTTACTCAATATTATTTGAAATTATTAGCAGGCTTATTTCACCATTAGCAAGAAGGAGGTGCTGAAGCAGCAGCTAAATCTATTACTTTTTTTTTTTAAATGATTTCCTATTCATGCCCTACAAGTGTGAGGGAAATCTCTGAATTTTATAACTCAATTGCCCACTTTACTTTCTTTCTGTTGGGCACTGTGTGGTAACTACTTGGTTTGGTGAAAATGAACTAAATTAATATTTCTAAAACATAAGTTTATGTTTTTGTAAACTGCAAATACATATTAGATTTTGTATAGTATGGGAAATATACAATTTAAACAAGTTTAATTTTTTTATATTTTAAACTTACGTAGCTTTAATCTCATCAGTTTTTTCTTAAACAATACCTAGTGAGTGCTGACATAACCATATGCGGTAACTTGTTTATGGTAATAACTAAAACAGTTAATCACAGAGATATTTATGAAACATTTTAGCAGTTATTGACTATTATTTATCATAGCAAAAATTAAAAATCATGCACATAAAAAATCTCATTTTTTAAAATTATTTTTTATCCTTTTATATGATCCCAGTATTAACCATATAATCCAGCATTTCTCATTCATGCTGCCAGAGATGGAGACCTCAACAGAAACAGTGGGCTGAAGTTGTTGGAGAGATGGGAGGGTTGAAGTACAAGGACGTTTTTATTAAATATCCCTACCTTTACTACTATGCGGTCTTTACAACAAAAATGACCCAACAGCTAATCTAAAAGAAGTATTTGGGTGAAAAAAAATCAATGAAAATACAAACCTCAAGAGTATTCTCTTTGGCAAATAATAATAATAATAATAATAATAATAATAATATAATAAAGGGGGTCCTGAGGGTAGAATTACCATGTGCAATAGTGATAGTTTTATTCATTCAAAAAATAGTTGTTTAGTGACTACTTTGTGCCAGTCACTGTACTAGACACTGGAGTTACAGAATTGGGCAAAACAGTGAAACTCCTTACTCAAAAGGAACTTACATTCTAATAGAAAAAGACTGACAAGTGACAATGTCTGTTTATGGCACATTTCATGAAGAAAATTAAAGTACTGTATGGAGATAAAGAGTGATAGAATGAGTGTTCAGGAAAGACCCCTTTGAGTAATTGTCAGGCAAATGTGATAACCACTATGCTCTGGAAACCCCATTGCGAAAGTGACATCAAAGCAAGCACATGAATGAAATGAAAGAATAAGCCATTTGTGTGTATAAAGGGACGAGCTTTCCAGGGAGAGGGAATAGCAAGCGTAAGGCCTGGAAAAAGGAATGTGTACACTCACTTGAGGATTAGCAAGGCAGACAGAGTTGTTGAAACAACAGTGAGAAAGACCAGAAGAATGATGGAACTAATGTTGATAAAGCCATATCTTGCAATGCTTTGTAGGCAAACATGTTCTATAAGTCATTGGAGGATACTGAGCAGAAAGTGGTAATCTGGTATGTGTTTTAGAAAGAACCTTCTGGAGTTAGGATAGAAAAGAGATTCTAGTTGGGCAAGAATGAAAATAGGGGACCAGTTGGAGTCCATTGTAAGAGTTCAGGCAATGTGACTAGGTTGGTAGTGGCAGAGATGGTGTGCCATGTGTACAGAAGTTGAGTTGTGTTTTCTTTCAAGTGTACACAGAGACAAATTATTTGTTCACATTATGCATTGTGGAGAGTTTAGGAATGCGTGGTATTACTTACATGTGACATTATATTGAATATGGATAATTAACTAGCTTAAGTGTCTTAGTTAGAATAAATATTACCAATTTATTCGTATGAACTTACTACTTTAATTATTTTACCCATTTTATTAAGCATTTAACAACATCATGGAAAAGAAAACAACGTTTAGAACTGATTTTCCAGCGTTAAACTGCAAGAACCTTTAGAAGTATGCATAAGATGTTTCACTGATGAGATCATGTATTATAAAAATAAGATCATTATGTTCTTTGATTTCTGAAACTTCATAAAGAAGAAAGCTTCACAACATATTCAAATTTGGAGTCATTGTGCCATTCATGAAGATATGCTTTGTTATCTAATTTTTGGTTTAAGTTTCCAGAAATTAGACCAATAATTTTTACCATTGCTTTATAAGATATAATCAGTAGATTGCTATTAGTTATGTAACTCTGTAAAAAGAATTAATCTGTTCTATCTAGATGGTTAGTTCAATTGAAATTATATTATTGTACAAATAAATTTTATTTCTAGAGTAAGACTAGAAAAAAGTTTCAATTAAAAATTCTCTGAGTGGTTTTCTTTGAAAATTTTAGTAAGTTAAATTGAAACTGTATTCAGCAAACATTTACTAAGCAGTTCCTTGGTGTCAAATTTTATCCTATGCCTTAGGGATGTTAGGTTCATTATGATCACAAAGATGAATAAGACAATTTGGAAGAGTTTCACATAGAATGGTGGAATATTAAATTAGTGCTTATTAAGTTAATAAGATAGCTGCTGTGTAGGTGTCTTTGTTAGATTTCCAGGGAGGGAAACTTTACCATTCCCTCAGTTTAGAGTTACATGCTTTGATCGAAGGGTATGCCTGCCGGCTTTCAAGTGTTTTTACTCTCACAGGAACTGAGACAATACAGTTACAATAATATGTGCATTCAAATTTCTCATATCTTATTGGTTGACTTATATGTGAAATAACCAGAAATAACACAACATAAATTATTGCTACATGTTAAATTACATGATTCTGTTTATAAATTATATACAAATTCACTGAAGAGAAATTAATGTGGATAGAGTATTCAGGAGGAAAAGAACCAGAGATGTGTCTTATAGAATTCGAATACTAGAGAAAAAAGAATATCATTTTGGGCAGGGAAATAACAAAGCCAGTAAAACAACAGAAATGGATATGATATATTTGAATGGTTGTACAGAAAAATAGTGGGAAATGAGCATTGTTAAGTCATCTTTGGAGCCATACTTTCCTTAAGATCTCAGGTTTCGGGTTAGCTATTCTGGTTTTGTTTTTCATTTGTAAAAAGGAAATCACACTACAAATTTTGTAGGGTTGTAGTGAGTATCAATAGAGGTGAAAATCTTCCAAATAATATAGCACATTTTTCCCTCATAATAGACACATTAATGCTAGCTATTACTATGATATTCATTTTTCTTTCCCCTTCCACCTTCCCAGTCCAGGGCTGCAAACACAGCAAAGTTGTTTTAACACAATATATCTACTAACTGAGGATATGGTAAAAACAACATATTGTTATTTAAAAATATATAATTTATTTTTTAGTGAAATTTGAGGTTTACAGATGAATTGTGCAGAAAGTAGACTTTCCTGGACCCCCTCCCTTTCCATTTCCATACACATTTTCCCCTATTATTAACAACTTCCATTAGTGTAGTACATTTGTTACAGTTGATGATTTATTATTGATACATTTATGATTAAAGTCCATAGTTTACATTAGAGTTCTCTCTTTGTGTTGTACAATTTTAATGAGTTTTGATAAATGCATAATGTGTATCCACCATTATAGCATCCTACACAATGGTTTCACCACCCTAAAATCCTTCTGTGCTCCACATATTCAGCACTATCTCAATTCTTTTGAATCCTTGGCAACCACTGATCTTTTACTGTCTCTATAATTTTGCCTTTTCCTGGATGTCATATAATTGGAATCATAAAGTACATGGCCTTTTCAGAGGCTCTGAACTTGACCCTCTAAATTCTCTGGTGTCTTTCACTTAGCAATATGCATACAAGTTTCCCCCATGCTTTTTCATGGCTTGAAAGCTCATTTATTTTTATAAATGAATAATACTATTCCATTGTATGGATGTAATACAGTCTGTTTGTATATTAAACTTTTAATGAAATGTCTGAATGTGTCTATCTGTATCCTTTTTTTTAAGTGGCTAATATCTTTCATAATTAAAAGTATTATAGTATTACATAATTTCTATTTTTCTCTTTCATATTTGGAATAGAATTTTTATTTTAAGCAATGCTAAATAAATTTTAAAATTTAATATATGACTATTCAATCCTATTAATATATTCCTATATTACAACTTTTTTGGAATAATGTAGCTGTGTTCTTTTAATATGTGTTATTTGAATTTTTTTCTAACTTTTTTGCTGTATATGAATTAGAAATATTTTACCATTTTTCAAGAATGCAATATATTATTACCTATAATAATCATTTTATACAATAGATCTCTTGAACCTATTTCTCCTATCCAACTGAAGTTTTATTTCCTTTGACCAGCATCTTGACAACCTTTCCCGCTACCCCTATAATCAGCCCATCCCCTAGTAACCACCATTCTTCTTTCTACCTTTTTTTTTTTTTTTTTTTTTTTGGAGACAGAGTCTCCCTCTGTTGCCTGGCTGGAGTGCAGTGTTGCGATCTCGGCTCACTGCAACCTCCACCTCCTGGGTTCAAGTGATTCCCCTGCTTCAGCCTCCCGAGTAGCTGGGACTACAGGCGTGTGCCACCACACCTGGGTATTTTTTTTTTTGTATTTTAGTAGAGATGGAGTTTCACCATGTTGGCCAGGATGGTCTCGATCTCCTGACCTCATGATCAGCTCACCTCAGCCTCCCAAAGTGTTGGGATTACAGGTGTGAGCCAGCGTGCCTGGCCTCTTCTCTCTACTTCTATGAAATTAATTTTTTAATATTCTATATAAGAAGAGAGTGGATGTAGTATTTTCACCATAAAAATGATAACTATGTGAGGTAATGCATATGTTAATTAGCTAGACTAGTCATTTCACAATGTATATGTACTTCAAAACATCCTGTTGTGTACGATAAATACATAAAATTTTATCTGTCAATTAAAAAATAAAAAGTTACCACTTTATAGCATATTCGCTTATATGGTTTGTATGTGACAAAATTTTGCTTTTCATGTGCCTAAGAGAAAGGAGGTTACAGAATGAAGTAACACATACATAAATTGTGCTGTGTAGTCAACCCTCCAAACACAGACAAACTACTACTTTATGTTCATTTTTTACCTGAAGTCTATATTTCTTAAAATACCACTGCATTAGTCCATTCTCACACTGCTATAAAGAACTACCTGAGACTGGGTAATTTATGAAGAAAAGAGGTTCAATTGACTTACAGTTCTGTAAGCTGTATAGGAAGCATGGCTATGGAAGCCTCAGGAAACTTACAATCCTGGCGGAAGGAGAGGGGAAGCAAGCACCCTCCTCACGTGGCAGAGCATGGGAGAGGGGGAAGGGGGAAGGGAGAAGTGCTACACACTTTTAAACAACCAGGTCTCCTGAGAACTCTATCAGGAGACAGCAGTAGAAGACTGGTGCTAAACCATCAGAAACCACCTCCATGATGCAATCACCTCCCGCCAAGCCCGACCTTCAACACGTGCAGATTAAAATTCAATGTGAGATTTGGGTGAAGACATAGAGCCAAACCATATCAACTACTTTATTTCTGTTAACAAAGTTGTTCACTTTTTCAAACAATTTTTAGTTTCTCCCTTACGTCTTAGAGGAAGTGCTGTTTCCTTCCTGCAGAAAATACTCCCTCTGTCTGCACTCTACACCTGAACCTCTAGATTCTGAAAGACTGTAATCTATCAATCACTAGAGTTGTTTCTATATATTTCCCTTTCCATCTGTACAAATTATTGAATGAATGAATGAATGACTCTTCTATGATTCCATTGTTGGTTTTTGAGATGCATGTCATGGTTACACTCTAGGTATAGATTCCCACACCTTGACTTTATATCCTGGTTCCAATGATTAATTAACTCTATGAAAATGAACAAGTTTTCTAACTTCGCAAGGTTTCATTTTCCTTATCTGAAACAGGAAATAATAGTAGGATTATGTAAGTTTTATGGGGAATGTGACAATTCCTGTGAAGTTCTTAACATAGTGCTGTTGTACAGCAGCTACCTAAAGAATATTAGCAATTATTGTTTTAAATTGATATTTTATTTGATTTATGAATATGAAATGTGATGATGCTCTCCCCCAGAATTTTTAAAACCTTTTTCTTCCTAGTTTTTAGAGAAATATCTTTCTCCGTAGCCCCTCTCAAAGATACTCTTTCCAAGCATTTCAATGTTCTTTCTCTGCACACCACCAACACACAAATGCACAAAAACACACACAGAGAATAATATTGTCAACAAACTTTTCTAAGTTTCTTCGTTAAGTCCTTTGACATTGCCTGAGACAAGAAAACATGGAGGGATAATTTCATTTTTTTATGTCTTTCTCTAACTCTTGACGGTGAACATTTTGTTCTTTACTCTTTGAAAGTTTTTACATTTATTAATAATAAAATGAATGTAGCAATATAGCTTCTCATCACAGATGCTTTCATTATTTTAAAATATTGTAATTATTTCTTACAATATATTAGAGCTTAAGTTCATCTTTGACAGATGATTATAACCTGGTGAGTGAAAAGCATTACTAATTCAACATATTTAAGCTACTGTGG